>NC_000020.11:5975425-6126941 GCF_000001405.40 Homo sapiens
AGTGTCTTATCTGTACAAATCTCATAATTTATACATACTGCTTGCAGTATATAAAACTTCCTTTTTTTGCTCTTTTTTTTTTTTTTTTTGAGTCGGAGTCTCGCTCTGCCGCCCAGGCTGGAGTGCAGTGGCATGATCTTGGCTCACTGCAAGCTCCGCCTCCCGGGTTCACGCCATTCTCCTGCCTCAGCGTCCCAAGTAGCTGGGACTACAGGCGCCCACCACCACGCCCGGCTAATTTTTTGTATTTTTAGTAGAGACGGGGTTTCACCATGTTAGCGAGGAGGGTCTCCATCTCCTGACCTTGTGATCCGCCCGCCTCAGCCTCCCAAAGTGCTGGGATTACAGGCATGAGCCACCACGCCTGGCCTTTTTTTTTTTTTAATAAATGTTTCTTGGCAGATAGTTGTTCTAAAATGTGTCCAGTGGTATTGAAAGTGTTAATACCAAGAAGTTACATTGGCAGTTTTTCTTGTTTTCAGACCTGGAATAATGCCTTTGGCTCAATTTAAAAATAGAATCTGTAATGTTAGTGGAAATTAAACATCCTGAATAGAGTATGGCATGTAAGCCACACTAAGCCAGGGTTTTTAAAAACGAGACTAACAGGCTGGGTGCAGTGGCTCATGCCTGTAATCCCAACACTTTGGCAGGCCAAGGCAGGAGGACCAAGCTGGACAATATAGTGAGATCCCATCTCTAAAAACAATTTTAAAAAAAATTAGGTGTGGTGGCATGTGCCTATAGTCCCAGCTACTCAGGAGGCTGAAGTGGGAGAATCACTTGAGCCTAGAAGTTTTAGACCAGCCTGGGCAACATAGTGAGACCTTGTTTCTTACAGAAAATTAATTAGCCAGTCATGGTGGCATGCTCCTATAGTCCCAGCTACTAGGGAAGCTGAGGTTGTTGTAACCATGCGAGTTATAGAGAAACGCCACACTTTGAGACAAATTAAAGAGTCCTTTATTAGCCAGCGACCCAGAGACAGCTCACGCCCAAAATTCTCTCAGCCCCGAGGAAGGGGCTAGTTTTGTTTTTATACCATGGTCTAAATAGGGAGGGGGGATTTTAGCTGAAGCAATTTTTACAGAAGCAGAACTGGCAGAAAGTTAAAAAAATTAATTGGTTACAAATGCAGTTACAAAAAAATAAACAGTTCCAGGTACCGGGGCTTAAACTATCACAAAGAGATAAATGTAGGGGTTTTGGGTGCCATGCACTGCGCGTGCCCCCAGGAGCTGCTGGTGCAACTCGCCTCAGCATCTCATCAACAGGTGCATTCCTGGACGTGCTTTGAGTCAGTTTTACACTAGCTATGCCTGGAGGGAGGTGAAAGGGTTTACAAGTGAAGAAGCTAAAATGGAGTCTGTCCGGCTCTCTCTCTGCTAGGAGAGAGTCACTCGGGTTAAAACAAGGTAGGATATCACAAGGTGGGATGATCACTTGAGCCCAGGAGTTCAAGGTTGCTGTGAGCTAGGATTGTGCCACTGCACTCCAGCCTGGACGACAGAGTGAGACCCTGCCTCAAAAATAATAAATATAACAAAACAAATTAAAAATTAGGCTAACACCAACTGTTATGAACCATTTACTTTATATTTTTGTGTTTTCTTCTTACCACCTAGTAAACCATCATACTCTGTGTGTTATAAGGTTTCTCAGAAAGACTATATAAGTAACAAAAATAATGATAATTACTATTTATTGAGCCAGCAGCATAGGATAACAGTGGGTGTTTGAGATGTGAATACTGTCCCCTAGAATTGGGCAGTGCACTGCCATACACGGCAGTTTTACATTGGGCACTTATGTGCCAGGTACCAAATTAAATGCCTTTCATACATGATTTCATTTATTGTTCAGGGCAATGCTGTGATAAAACATAAGGAAGCTGAGGCTCAGAGAGGTCTGAGAGCCACACAGCTGGTGCATGGTGGAGCCACGATTTAAACAGGTCTGTCTGACTCCAGAGAGCTATGCTTTTAACTCTTGTGCTGTTTACTTTTCTGGCCTGTTATAGCATGTTTGCTCAGAAGGTGAGCATGTATTAAGTCACTTTATTACCTGATGTTTAAAGAAGCATTGGAACCTTCAAAATTAAAATTGGTACTCATGTTTTTGCTTTTCGAACTTGAAAATGAAGCATAAATTGGAATTGTGTTGAGTATTTATATGACCACAGACTTCAGAATCTGACTGCCTGGGTTTGATTGAATCCTGACTTTCCACCTTGATAGCTGTGTAGTTCCTCATTCACTCTTTGTTGGCCTTGGTTTTGACATCAGTAAATCAGGATATAATAATACCTTTCTCTGCTGGTGATGGTGCACCTTGTACACTAAAGCTCTTAAAAGAATACCTAGCATATACCTAACGTTTGTGAGCAACTGCTGTTAGCTATTACTTCCCTTTTACTTTGGATGATTCTCTTAAACTTTTTGTTTCCTTAGGCAGCGTGCAATGTTGCCCCACGTGGCGTGTATGTTTGTGGTAACACCACGACCACCTCTGGTCTGACGGTAACTCTTTCAAAAGATAGTTCCTCTGGAGATTTTGCTTTGGAAGCTGGTGCCCTGGTACTTGGTGATCAAGGTGAGAGGCCAAAGGGAATAATTAGTGATTCTGGGACTTTTTGAAAAGCCTTTTCCTTTTCAGTTAATTTCTTTACATTCTGTTTAAGAGAAACATTTAGATAGCAAAGTCCTAACCAGTAAGTTGACACTGTCAGAAATAATCATTGGAAATGCAGTATCATCATTTTTATACTACAGAATTGGAACTGTACTTAATGTCATTCATTTTCAGAATCTTATAGCCGATACAAGTATATGTAAAAATCAAATAAATATGTGTAGCTCCCTGAACTTCCCATTTCATACCACCTATCATATTTGTGATCATTTTTTTTAAAAGCCTGTTTTGAAGCTTTGTAGTAAGCTCCCTGTATGGTGGGATTTGGATGTCTTGTGGACTGCCATGTTCCCATTGCCTAGTACATAGGGGCACAGTAAATACTTATTGAATGCGTTACTATGATTTAGCTCTAAATAGTTTGGAAACCTTGGCACTGACAAAAAGGTGGATGTCATCCTTTGCTCACAGAGGACTTGCAATAGGAGATTACAGGTGTTACTTTCGATGTTTTTTTCTTTTTATGAGACAGAGTCTTGCTCTGTCACCCAGGCTGGAGTGCAGTGGTGCAGTCTCAGCTTTCTGCAACCTCTGCCTTCCAGGTTCAAGCCATTCTCGTGCCTCCTGAGTAGCTGGGATTACAGGTGTGCGTGACCACATCCAGCTAATTTTTGTATTTTTAGTAGAGACGGGGTTTTACCATGTTGGCCAGGCTGGTCTTGAACTCCTGGCCTCAAGTGATCCACCCACCACACCTCCCAAAGTGCTGAGATTACAGGCTACAGGCGTGAGCCACCACACCTGGCCTACTTCAGAATGAATAGTTTTGCCGTATTGTAACTGAACTCATTGGTTTTTTTTCAGGATTTGAGTGACAGGTGGTAAGAAGTCCAGGCATAGGGCCCAGCAAGAAGAAACCTCTACATTGGGCTTTGTCACCTAAGTTTCTCTTTGTGATGCCTTCACCTTATTGGGAAAACATGTTTCCATGCATGTGTCAGGCAGTGTCCAGATTCCAGTCCAGTTAAGGTCGTTCATTCCTTCTGGTTTGCCAGTGACTTCCATATTCTGAACCCAGGACCTGGTAGCCACATTTGACACAGTTAATCACTCCCTCCTCCTTGAGACCCTTGAAACTCTCATTGGTTTCCAGGCCACTTTACTTCATTCTTTACTTCTTTCTCAGTCGTTTACTGGTTCTTCATCTCCACAACCTCTTACCTGTTGTTAACTAAGGTGCTTAGTTCTTGGACCTTTTGTCTTCTGGGTCTGTATTTACCTTCTTGGTGATCTTGTATCGTTTCATTGGCTTTACCTACCTATCCGTGAAAAATTCTAAATTTATAATCTCGTTTCCCTTAAATATCAGGCACATACTTCTTATTGTCTACACAGTATCTCCACAAATTTCTCAAACTTAACATGTCTAAAATTAAAATCCTGATTTTGCCTTTCAAATCTATTTTCACAGTCTTCCTCATCTCAGTAAATGACAACTCTCATTATAATTGCTCAAATCAGAAAACACGGAGCCATCCTTGACTTTTTCTCATACCCCACATTAATCTGTCAGCAAATCTTGTTGGCTGTACCATCAAAATATATCTGCTATCTAACCACTTCTTCATTACCCTGGTCCATGGCACCATCATGTCTCACATGGATTATTACTGTAATCTCCTAATTGGCATGCCTGTAACCACGCTTGCCCCTTCCTGTTGTTTTTAATACAGTAATCTCATTAAAAATTAGATTGTGTTACTCTTGCTCATAACCCTCCAGTAACTGCCCGTCTCGCTCAGAGTGAAAGCCAAAGTCTTGAGAGTGGCCCAGGGCCATTCATGTTCTGGCCTTTCACCTCTTTTGCCTCCTTATCTGCTGCTTCCCATGTCTCCTCTTCTCTAGCTCCATTGGTGGCTCTGCCTTGGACACCACCAGCACACCAGGCACGTCACATTTCCTCATAAGGGCCTTTGTACTTACTGTTCTGTTTGCCTGGAATGTTCTTACCCCAGATAGAGCTGCAAAGGCTTGTTTTCTTTCCCCCTTAATGTTTTGCTGAACTGTCCTGACCCCAGTGAGGTCTTCCCTAAATACCGTATTTTAACTTATAACCTCCCCTGCCCCTGCTGCACCTTAGCAGACCTTATTTTCCTTACCCTAATCTACTTTTTCCTTCCATAGCACTTTTTACCTTCTATATTGTTTACTTTTTTATTGCCTGGACCCCCTATTGGCTGAGTAGAACATAAGCTTCCAAGAGCAGGGAATTTTGTCTTTTCAGTGCCATACTCGGCATTCCTAGAACATAGTACTGGTATATAGAAGGCATTCAGTTTATTGAATTTATAAATTTATTGCATTTATATCTAGTAAATATTTGCTGAATAAATAAATACCAAAAACATGTATCTCGTTATTATATAGCTCATCAGAAGTGAGAATATCTTTGCTAAGTTACCAGGTAAAATATAGTAATAAAAAGATGATACTCATGAAACCATGCAACTTCATTAACTAGAAGTAGAAGGTGATTTGGAGGTTTTTTAAAAAAATTTTAATGCCAGCACTTTGGGAGGCCGAGGCAGGCAGAGCACTTGAGACCAGGAGTTTGAGACCAGCCTGGCCAACATGGCAAAACCCTGTCTCTACTAAAAATACAAAAATTAGTTGGGTGAGGTGGCGCATGCCTGTAATCCCTGCTGCTCAGGTGGCTGAGGCACAAGAATCGCTTGAACCAAGGAGATGGAGGTTGTAGTGAGACATGATGGTGCCACTGTACTCCAGCCTGGGTAACAGAACGAAACTCTGTCTCTCAAAAAAAAAAAAAAAAAAAGTTCAAAGTTTATGTTTTATGCTTTAAAACAAGGGGTCATTAAACTTTGGTCCATAGGTCAAACCAGCCAACAGTGTGTTTTAGTACAGTCCACAAGCTAAAACTGGCTTATATATTTTTAAAAGATTGTAAAGGACAAACAAACAAACAGAAAAGCCCAAGAATATGTAAGGTTGTGCATGGCCTGTGAAACTTAAAATATATACTTCTGCACATTTGCAGAAAAGGCTTACCAGCTCCTGCTTTATACTTTGAAAAGTGACAGCCAAAGTAGGAAGTAGCTTGACTTTGTTCCTACCCCATCTCTGAGGAATTGCATTAGCAATCTTGATAATTTCCAGTAATACCATGAATCCAGAGAGGTATAGGCAGACGGAGCAATAGGCAGCTCAGGGAAAGGTGGAGATAAAGCCTGTGAGTCTACCACTGCTAGGATCTTAGCACAGGCAGGGAAGGCTCACTATGTCCCAGAGCTCCACATTGAACAGCAGGAACAGGCTAATGCACTGGGATCCCCTGCCATGAATATGGGACACATTCCCAACAGAGGGGGGTGAACTCTCAGAAGAGATCAGCAAGAAAGGTGGCACAAAGTTCAACAAAGCCCCCCTTGCTTCCCCCTCCTAAATCATTACGTTACCAAAAAGTGCAAACTGTAGCTGGAAAGGAAAAAATGGGTCAAAATTACATTGGGAAAAGCGTATTGACAAGAATTCATATATACTGTGTCGGAAGAAATAGGTTTGGACAGAGCAGCCGTTATTATACATGAGCAAGGCAAAGAGACAGCATAGCAGCTGTGAAGAAATAACGTAGGAAGAAAGAAAGACATTTAATATGCCCAGTAAAAGACCTCACTGTAGACAAAATTATAATCTAAGGAACAAATGAAAATTTCCCATGAGTGTTTCATGTTTGATAAGAACATTAATGAAATAGCTCAAAACAAAAAGATAAGGCTATGAGAGACAAATTGATGACTAACAATGTTATTAAACTAATATATAAAATTGACACTGCTGAATGAGAAATTATAAAGAGGAAAGGCTTGAGATAATTGCAGTGAATGCAAAAGAACAAAGCTTAATACAATTAGAGGGGAAGTAACAGAGATAGAGAACAAAGGAAATTCAACATAATTGGTTCCATGAAGTAGAAAACCCAAACATGAAACCAGAAATGGATTCAAGGATAGAAGAAAATCTGTTGAAATAAACTAAAGGCACTGTATGTGCCAGGAATGTCATGTCTATTGCACAAGTTATTGGGGACTCTCTAACATTAGTTTACAATATTTGTCTTCCCTGCTCCCCATACCAGTTAGGTTAGCAGCTGGGGATCAAAAAGACTAATCAGCAGTTATTTTCCATATACTCCTCTGTGCTAGTAAGGCTTACTTAGGTATAGAGTAGATACGGAGGGGTTTAACCACAGCAAAGCCCTTCAGATGTGACCCCCAGATACTAACCTAACTGGTATGGGGAGAAAGGAAGACAAGCATTACGAGGTAATGTTAGAGAATCTCCAATAACTTATGCAATAGACATGACATTCCTGGTACATACAGTGCCTTTAGTTAGTGGTGGTGCATTGTATTATGTTTAAAGAGATTAAGTGATTTCCCTATAAGTGCATACAAGTGTATAGTCAATACCTGGTATAGGTTTTGAAATATACTTATTAAACATAATAAACTTACTATATGTGTATTGAGGTATACTTATTAAATTGTGCATGTGTGTTTGTGTGTGTATGTAACATCACACCCATTTGAATTTAACTCCTTAAGCATTTTGAGAATTACTCTTACCTCCTCTTCGTTTTTGTAATCCTCACAACATAGTGCTGTGCGTATGAAAAATGCTAAAGGAAGAACTATTACACAAAACTTAGTTAAATAAGACAAATGTATTAACTTGCTGCAGAACAAACAGTAATTCTCCATTGTATGACATTTTATAATTTTAACTGCTGAAACAAATGGAAATAATTATTGTGAAACAATTTCTATCCTATAAAATTTGGAACTTGACCAAAGAAAAAATGTTTTTTCTGCTTTATTCTACTTCGATTGTAGGTATTTGTGGAATCGATGAATTTGATAAGATGGGGAATCAACATCAAGCCTTGTTGGAAGCCATGGAGCAGCAAAGTATTAGTCTTGCTAAGGCTGGTGTGGTTTGTAGCCTTCCTGCAAGAACTTCCATTATTGCTGCTGCAAATCCAGTTGGAGGACATTACAATAAAGCCAAAACAGTTTCTGAGAATTTAAAGTAAGTCTCTTCAAATATTTATACCTTTAATGTATTGAATCACTTTAATTCAATAAGAAAAAGAAATAGTTCACAGAACTACAGGGGAAAAACATGGATATTTCACAGAAGTTATAAATGTCCAATAAATGCACAAAAATGTGCTTAAACACTGCAGAGTAAAACAATGAAGTACGAATGAGATCCACCAGATTGGCAAACATTTTAAATATTAATCATTTTTGGCAAAGTAGTGTGGAAATGGTTTCTCAGTGGCTGGGCGGGTGGCTTATGCCTGTAATCCCAGCACTTTGGGAGGCTGAGGCAGGTGGATCACCTGAAGTCAGGAGTTTGAGAACAGCCTGGCCAACATGGCAAAACCCCGTCTTTAGTAAAAATACAAAAATTAGCCAGGCATGATGGCAGCCGCCTGTAATCTCAGCTACTTGGGAGGCTGAGGCAGGAGAATTGCTTGAACCTGGGAGGTGGAGGTTGCAGTGAGCCGAGATTGTGCCACCACACTCCAGCCTGGGTGACAGAGTGAGACGCCATGTCAAAAAAAAAAGAAAAAGAAATTGTTTCTCACATACACAATTTATTATTTTGTGGGACCCCTTGGTGTGTTGATCACAATTCTAAATGCACATTCTGTTTGTTATAGCCACTCTACTTTTAGGACTACTGTTCACAGAAATAGTCATACAAGTGCACAACGATAGGTTTATAGCATGGGTATTGCAGCATTATTGCTGCCAAACATTGGAAACACCTTAAAACTATAATAAGACTGTAGTGATTATGAGAACGAAAGTGGCTTTATATGTACTAATGGGGGAACATGTCTGTGCTGTACTATTAAGTGAGAAGAGCACATTAACAAACTTAAATATGTGGTATGATCCTGCTTTTTTCAAAAACAATGTTTATATCTGTATGTATGCTTTCTCTTCTAATTCATTCTGTACAGCTTGGACAAAATGTGTGGAAAAGGAAAAATATATTTAAGTGATACAAAAGTGAGAAAAAGACAAAAGAGTACCTCCTGAAAAATTAGAGCCTTAAGCCTAGTGGGGGTGGAGTTAATTTCTTGTTGTTTAATAATGTATCAATATAGAAACAGTCTTTGATACATAGTGAAATACACAATGTGTACTTGGAGATTTAGGGTATTTACCACCACCACCAAAAAAATCAACCTACTAGTAGTTTTTCTTTAGTAAAATGACAAAGTGCTATATTAGAAAAATCAGAAAGATCTATTGAACAAAAATCCAGCAGACTTGGATTCTGTTTTTTAATGGTATCATGAACAAAATACTGAACTAGCTAACCTCTGATATGTCATGTAGCAGTATTGCCAATTAGTGATAATAGGACATGAAGAATTCAGTGGGTTTGGGGGTGTGAGAAAGAGCCATGTCCTCAACCTACCCAGGGTAGATACATGTAATTCTTGTGCCCATGTTGCAGTGGTTGGATATATCGAATCCAAGAAGCTATTTGCTTATTTCTTTAACCTAAATCTTGGTTTTTCAAGTTCTGCGTGGAACTTGAGTAGTAAATAAGTGAGTAGACAGTTTTCTAGTTTTTCCTTTTGATTCCAATCATTGTTTCTTCTTTCTTTCATCCTTCATAGAATGGGGAGTGCACTACTATCCAGATTTGATTTGGTCTTTATCCTGTTAGATACTCCAAATGAGCATCATGATCACTTACTCTCTGAACATGTGATTGCAATAAGAGCTGGAAAGCAGAGAACCATTAGCAGTGCCACAGTAGCTCGTATGAATAGTCAAGATTCAAATACTTCCGTACTTGAAGTAGTTTCTGAGAAGCCATTATCAGAAAGACTAAAGGTATAAATGTTTCTTCTCCTTATTCAGTTTGGTTCTGTTTGAATGTCAAAGTTCAGTGTGTGGCTTATTGTAGAGCAGTAGGATACAAACTTTTTTTTTACCAGAACTTTTTAATATTTCCATACTAGAGTTTACGTAAACTTCATCTGAAATAATCCAAGTCGGCCTGGCGTGGTGGCTTATGCCGGTAATCCCAGCACTTTGGGAGGCCGAGGCAGGTGGATCATGAGGTCAAGAGATCGAGACCATCCTGGCCAACATGATGAAACCCCATCTCTACTAAAAATACAAAAATTAGCTGGGCATGGTGGTGCGTGTCTGTAATCCCAGCTACTTGGGAGGCTGAGGCAGGAGAATTGCTTGAACCTGGGAGGCGGAGGTTGCAGTGAGCTGAGATCTCACCACTGCACTCCAGCCTGAGTGACAGAGCGAGACTGTCTCAAAAAAAAAAAAAAAAAGGAATCTAAGTCAGCTAAGATGAGACCTACAGATAAAGTGTTTGGTTGATTTGGAGAGTCTTTTAGAATTGTATATTTATCTAAACAAGTTATTTATTTATTCTGAGACATAGTCTCACTCTTATCGCTCAGGCTGGAGTGCAGTGGTGTGATCTTGGCTCACTGCAACCTCTGTCTCCCGGGTTCAAGTGATTCTCCTGCCTCAGTCTCCCAAGTAGCTGGGACTCCAGGCACGTGCCACCACGCCCGGCTAATTTTTGTATTTTTGGTAGAGATGGGGTTTTGCTGTGTTGGCCAGGCTAGTCTTGAACTCCTGACCTCAGGTGATGTGTCCTCCTTGGCCTCCCAAAGCGCAGGGATTACAGGCGTGAGCCACTGCACCTGGCCTAAACAAGTTATTTTAGCAGAAATATTTTATTTGCTACTTATCCTTGTTATCTTGGGCCTTTTAATCATGCTTCAGGTGGTTCCTGGAGAAACAATAGATCCCATTCCCCACCAGCTATTGAGAAAGTACATTGGCTATGCTCGGCAGTATGTGTACCCAAGGCTATCCACAGAAGCTGCTCGAGTTCTTCAAGATTTTTACCTTGAGCTCCGGAAACAGAGCCAGAGGTTAAATAGCTCACCAATCACTACCAGGCAGCTGGAATCTTTGATTCGTCTGACAGAGGTTTGTTTCTTTTTATGGTCATGCTTTTTTTGGCTTAAAGGGGAAGGGTGTGCCTTGACTTCTCTTTTGAAGTATTTTCTGCATAATTGACTCCATTTTCCTTTCTATAGAGAGATGTTAGAAATGGATGGATGAAAGTTTTTTAAAAGATTTTGTCATGTCTATAACATATCCAAGTATAGCTACTTCTTTCTAGTCACAGAATCAATTACTTAGCATGCAACTTTTCTTTTGTTTTTCTTTGACTGACTCTTAGGAGACTCCTGGAATATCTGAAAAGTGGTTAGGTTAACTAGGAGTATGAGACCCAAGTTGAGTATATGGGAACATGGAATGTGTCAGGTATCTTGAGTATTTTATTTTTTTACATGACAGGTCCACAAGGATAGTTCCTGTGTTTTTAACAGCAGTAATATCTATTCACAGTTTGAAATACTAAGAGAACTCTGGCAGTAAAAATTAGCTAGCTCAGAGTTTGGGCTTTTTGCTCCTAAAATCTGATTAATTCTTCTTTGTTGTTTTACCATATTGGTTAGGTATGATTTCCTAAAAGTAAAAGGCAAGGGAAAACCAAGTGTATTTCATCATCAAATCTCCTGAAATGATCACTCAGAAATATACGTTAACAAGTAAAAATGAGGTTTATCCTTATTTTAAGTGAGTTGTAATTTTCATAGTCAAGGTTTCACAGATTTTTTTTGTTTGTTTGCCCTGAGTCAGGGTCTCCCTCTGTCACCTAGGCTGGAGTTCAGTGGCATGATCAAGCCTCATTGCAGCCTCTCCTCCCAGGCTCAAGGGATCCTCCCACCTCAGCTTCCCAAGTAGCTGGGACTACAGGCATACACCACCGCACCCAGCTAATTTGAAAATTTTTTTGTAGAGACAGGTCCTCACTTTGTTGCTCAGGCTGGTCTCGAACTCCTGGGCTCAAGTGATCCTCCCACCTCAGCCTCCCAAAGTGCTGGGTTTATAGGCGTGAGCCACCACCCCCAGCCCAGAGAATTACTTCCATATTTTGACTTTTGATGTTATAACCTTCCTCGCCTAAAGGTCAGTTTTTGTGTAAAACAAGTAAATGAAGTAAAGCTTAGACATACTATGGTAAATATATTCATCTTTCGTCATCTGAAAATGGTGTTTTCTTTTAAAGGCACGAGCAAGGTTGGAATTGAGAGAGGAAGCAACCAAAGAAGACGCTGAGGATATAGTGGAAATTATGAAATATAGGTAAGATAAAAATTTCAAATTGTTTTAAATGAAATACCAGTTATCTTCCCATCTCAAATTAGGTAATAGGCCAAGGCTACTTTTATTTAGCCCATTGGGTCACTTATTTTCCTCCTAAACAGAGTACCGTTTCTTAGTTTAAAATATTTCTCACTGTGTAAATAATCTTTACATTAGAAATTTTTTTGAATGAGTAATACATTTACATAGTGCTAAAATCAGTTCCAAAACCTATTGGAGAAGAGCTATTTACCACCTACTCGCCCTTCACCCAGACACCCATTGCTTTTCCACAGTCTGCTGTTTATACTCTTCTGTACTGGTTTTGAATTTTAACAATATATCCAGAGATCTTTTTTTATTAGAGACTCTTTTTTTATAGCTAGAGTATTCTATTGTGTAGATATACTATATAGTATATTTGATCAGTCCCCTATTGACACATAAATATTTTCCATTCTTGTGCTTTTAAATAATGCTACAATGAGTAATGTTCTACGTAAGATACTTCATATGTGGGTAAGTTGTGCACCTACGTGATAAATTCTCAGAAGCGATATTTCTGGGTTCAACAGTAAATACTATAGGTTTTTGATAAATATTGCTAAATTGTATCCTTTGCATTTTACATCATTTAGTAGATAATGATTCCTAGAAGGTAGAAAAGAAAAATTAGTTGAGCATATATGTTTACCTTAGACATAGATTTTTAAAAATCAGTAATATTATTTTGGGTAGTTTTTTTTATTCCAGATAAAAAAATTTTTTTAATAGGTCCATACTTTCATAAGCTTCAAAATTCCAAAGTTCAAAAAGTATAGGCCAGGTATGGTGGCTCACACCTGTAATCCCAGCACTTTGGGAGGCCGAGGCAAGTGGATCACCTGAGGTCAGGAGTTCGAGACCAGTCTGGGCAACATGGTGAAACCCCGTCTCTACTAAAAATACAAAAAATTAGCTGGGCGTGGTGGCTAGTGCCTGTAATCTCAGTTACTTGGGAGGCTGAGGCGGGAGATTTGCTTGAACCTGGGAGGTGGAGGTTGCAGTGAGCTGAGATTGTGCCACTGTACTCTAGCCTGGGTGACAGAGCAAGACTCTGTCTCAAAAAAAAAAAAGTATATAGTGGAAAAAGTTTCCTCCTACTCAGCTTAATAGTTACCCCGTTCTTCCTGCTAGCCAGTGGCAATTATTAGCAGTTTTTTGTGTGACTACATATCTATATATTCTTTTTTCCCCTTTGTAGACAAATGGTAACTATAACAACATACCATATACATGCTATACCTTGCTTTTTTCATTTAAAATGCATTTTTAATATCCTCTGATAGCAATGAAAATACATTATCTGTTAGGAGTCTACTTTTCCAAGACCAAAAAATATATTGAAGATGAAATTATCTAATTTTGTTAAGTAATTTCTAATTCTTCTAAGGTAGATGAATTCTTTTGTCCTAGTAGCTGCTGATTCTGAGGTTTGCGTGGTGTCAGAACCAGGTGGTTTTGCCCAGGTGGTTTTGCCCAGCTATTCCCCTTTGGCTGTGAATAAAAGTGCAGCATAGCTGGAAGAGCAAGGGCTTTGGAGTTCAACCTGGAGCTGCCATGGCAGGTTACACACTGCTTCTCAGTTTCCTCTGGTGTAAAACACACCACAAAGGATTGTGCTCTGAGGTGTCATGCAGTGATGCTCAATAAAGTGACGAATACGGTTCTGATACATTAGAGAACACTCAGTAAACACTGTTTACTATCAATAGCGCAAGTCTTTTTTTTTTTTTTTTGAGACAGTCTGGCTCTGTCGCCCGGGCTGGAGTGCAGTGGTGTGATATTGGCTCACTGCAGCCTGCGCCCCCTGGGTTCAAGCAATTCTCCTGCCTGAGCCTCCCATGTAGCTGGGACTACAGGTGCATGCCACCACACCTGCTAATTTTTGTATTTTTAGTAGAGATGGGGTTTCACCATGTTGGCCAGGATGGTCTCAAAGTGCTGGCCTTAAGTGATCTGCCTGCCTTGTCCTCCCAAAGTGCTGGGATTACAGGCATGAGCCACCACGCCTGGCCTGATAGTGTAAGTTTTGTTGATACTCAGATGAGGCTGAGCAGATCCCCTTTTCTCTGAGTTATACCATAAACCAAAGGCCTCAAAAACTGGCAGATCTCACCCTAGATAAGAAGTTTCCAAAATCACCCTTTTCAAAGAATTTTTATGGTCTAGTCCTCAGTGCTCTCCATCTAAATTGTGCAGTATGTCTTAGCTGCAGATCCTTTTCTTCTTGTCTTTTCCTCATAGGGAGAGACTTTACCTAGTTGTCTCTTTGTCCCCAGCCTGGTACTGCCCCATCCCTGGAGGCTGCTGTCTTCTCTCTGCTGCCTCTAGAGGTATGCAGATGGGTAGAAGGGCACCCATGTCACCTCCTGAAGGTACAAGAATCTGCAGGTTGTTTCCTGCCCTTAGAGGGAGTCCATGGAAGAAGAGGAACCTTTCTCCTTAATTCAGTCTCAGAGTTTGTAAGCAACCGTGAGGTTCTACTGGCTGTCTTTGAAAGCTTTAAAGATTCTAGAATTGACAGCTCTTAATTTTTTATTGGTGGCACCAAAGTAACTGCCTCATAATAAGAAAAATTAATAATTATTGACTCCCAACCCTTTGAGCTAATTTCTAACAACTTACCTTCTGTGTCTAAGTATCCTATTGGTATGGCATCACACAGTGCTTTTTTTTTTTTCTCTTTTATTTAGACAGAGTCTCACTCTGTCATCCAGGCTGGAGAGTACAGTGGCGTGATCTCAGTTCACTGCAACCTCTGCCTCCTGGGTTCAAGCGATTCTCCTGCCTCAGCCTCCTGAATAGCTGGGATTACAGGCACCTGCCACCACGCCCAGCTAATTTTTTTGTATTTTTGGTAGAGACGGGGTTTTGCCAAGTTGGCCAGGCTAGTCTTGAACTCCTGACCTCAGGTGATCTGCCCACGTTGGCCTCCCAAAGTGCTGGGATTACAGGTGGGAGCCACCGCGCCTGACATCACACAGTCCTTGACCCATCAATTTTCTCTCTTTATGTGATTCAGTACTAGGGTTTGAGGGATCTTGTAGCTGAAAATTTTACCAACCTGGCTTTAGTCCCTCTCCAGTTGATCTCATTATGTTGGAGACCCTCTAGTTGCCATTTATAAGCAACCAGATAGTCTAGGAATTTACTAGACTTTCTCATACAACTTGCTGCTAGGGGCATGGTGTGCTAGCATATGAAGTAAAAGAATGGCCACAAAATCTAGTTGTCTGCCTGACTTCTTGTGGGTATGGCTTTCTAAGAGACCAGACTAGAGACTGACCTAGCAGAGATATTTTTTCCCATTAGGAAAGTAAGTCACAACCCAACCAAAATTTCAGAATTTTTTTTAATTTTAACTTTTTTTCCTATAAAAAAAACAAAGACCAAAAATAGGCACTTCTTATTTAATGATGAGAAGTTGCTTGTTGACTTACAGTCTAGAATGTGTGCATCTTGCTTTCTCTGCATCCTGCACTTGAACACTCCACCTTTGGGAGTGTGGCTGAGATTCCCACTCCTGATTTCTTTTTCCTTTTAATGATCTCTGGCCCTCTGGGTCTTCTGGTGCCTGGCTCTCCTGAATGTCATGTTTCTACTTTGTAGACTGTTCATCTGTCGAGCAAACTAAGGGGTACACTACCCTGCTCCTTTTCTCTCTTAACCTGTAACATTCTCCTCTTGAGGCTTTACCATTGCTCAATTTCTGCAGGCCTTAGACCATAGACGTCACCTCAACTGTTTACTGTTTCCCCACAGTAAATTCACTGGTCTGTGGACACGGTAGATTAGTTCTCCTATCTGAGCATCATGCTTAAGCAGAGTAAATTAGGCTATATTTACCTTTTCAGTAAAAATGCTATATTGCCCATTTATGGTTGGTTATACTTGGTATAAGATTTCTCTGCATGTCTGAATACTCATGTTGGACAGTGTTTGCATGTGCTTTCCTGTCCAAGAGGAACTCTTAAGTGTTGTCTCATGGAACTCTGTATTTGTACTGCTTCCCAGAGTTGCTTTGGTGGTAAATTTGAACAAGTTTCAGATCAGTTTACATCTGGGCCCCTGAAAAAAAGAGGTCTTATTATTAAGTGTAAACAGTACCCACATGACATTACCAGATTGTTTCCCTGAATTGTCTCAGTATGTTTACTGGCATTCATAAAAATTTTCAGGAAAAAGAAAATAGTTTGATTGGAATTACCTGACACTATGTTCATGGTAGAGATCAAGATCCAGTGAAACACAATGAAATTAGATTATGAATTATCTGTTTGTTATGCTCAACATGCATTCTTTCCTTAGTTTATGAGAGCAGGGACCTTATCTGACTCATTTACCAGTATATTCCCAGGGCCCAGAATCATGCCTGTCATAAAGTAGGCCTTCAGTAAATGTCCTGCACTGATAGTAAAGTTGACCTTAGTAATGATTCATTCATTCATTAAATCTTCCATTTCAGAGTTTTCATCTCTTCAGCTTCGTTCAGTCTTTGCCCTTAATGTGGTTTTAAACCTTTTAAGATTACATTTTAACTGGGAAGCTGACAGTTGAATAAGAAAATTCTTAAACTGTGACATAGCTTGTCTGAGTTACCAGAGCACTTAGCTGTATTTTAAAAAACTAAATGCTTATATTTAGTAGACAGTTCACATAAGCTTTCTCCTAAAATTGAAAACATACTAGGTAGCAGAAGAGAACAGAGCCACCTTCAAAGGTGAAAGATCATTGTTTTTTTCTATTTCAGGAAACTAGCTCAAATATTTTACATAGCTTTTTAAAATCTGAAGCAGTGTAGCAGATTCAAATCTGAGATATGCCACTTACTAGTTGTGTAACTTCTGGCAAGTCACTTTAATCTTAGCATAGGTTGGTGCAAAAGTAGTTGCAGTTTTTGCCATAAGAAAAGCAATTTCAAAAACCTCTATTACTCTTGCACCAACCTAATAAGAATGTTTTTTCATCCGTAAAATGGGAATAAGAATAGTTCCTAAATCACAGGATTGCTGGGAGGATTAAGTGGGATAGCCTATGTTAAACAAATATAATTAAGATAAATGTTACCTATTATTATTAACTGAAAGCATTTTTAACAACTTTCTCATGAGAAACAAGCATATGGGAGGTTCATCTTAAAAGAGATTATGCTGTATTTCAGAGGAAAACACTTACCATCTTACTGTTTTATCATTTTTAATAGTTTTATTTGAATGACTCATTCCTATTTGCATAACGTAGGCTTTTAACTATTCAAGGAACAAAAGGAAGCTTTATTGTTTATAACCCATTAAAATCATTCCTGCAGCTCATTAAGGGAAGGGATTATACCTGTTTTGTTCACCACTATAAGCCTGTTGCCCAGCAGGTGACCAGTATGTATTTGACTAATTAATTAATTCCTGATTAAATAACAGTTTTGCCAATTAGTCTGGCTGTGAAATATAGCTATCCCATTGTTGAGGCAGGGAATCAGCAATAGAGTTGGATTAAACAGGATGGTTAATTATGTTTCTAACTAGTGTTTTCAGACTTTAGCTAAAATTCACTATCAAGTACGTACTTCTTTCCTTGGTGATATTGTGAAAATTAGAGAAAGCAGAAGAAATCTGGCAGTAATAGGTGCATCCTTTAATATCTAACCAGTATCACTGCAACTCACCATAACCTTTCTAGTTCATTCCTAGAGTATTTTAAATACCTTTTATTTAAAATACTGGTGCGGCCAGATGCTGCTCCAGGAGATGGGACACATTTTTATTTAGTGAAGTCTAAATTTATTATATTTAGAATTTCTTTTCTTCATGAATCAAAAAGAATGTCCCAGGTATTTATATTGTAGTTTATCAATTTTGTGTTTTTATGCATTTCTCTCTCCAAATTTAGAAGTTTCTTAAAAGCAGTAACTGTGTCCAAAATATTTTTATTCCTTATCAATCCATCATAGTGAATTTCAGAGTGGCCCCTCAATAAACACATGTTGAAATGTTTGCTAAGTGAGCCTTGTGGCTACTTCCAAATTTTTCTTCTGTAACCTGAAAGCCCAGGACAACAATTTCTATGGCAGTGCTACATTGGGTAATTTTTTCTTCCTTTCTTTTTAAGCATGCTAGGAACTTACTCTGATGAATTTGGGAACCTAGATTTTGAGCGATCCCAGCATGGTTCTGGAATGAGCAACAGGTCAACAGCGAAAAGATTTATTTCTGCTCTCAACAACGTTGCTGAAAGAACTTATAATAATATATTTCAATTTCATCAACTTCGGCAGATTGCCAAAGAACTAAACATTCAGGTATGTTAAACTAGTTAATCTCTTTTGTAATAATTTCAGGAGGTCCTTGTTAATATATAGTAGAACAGAAACAGTTTTTACTTATTTAAAATTCATACCTGCTTCTTCTCAAAGGTTTTCAGCATCTTGATAGTCAGAGGGAAACATTGTAGTAAGACAGTCTCTATGTTTTTCTGACTGTCTCTTGTGGATATGTCATTTTAACATCTTTTAACGTTGCATCCCTCATCTGTTAAATGGACATGATTATACCAATTCCTACTTCAAAGTTCTCGTGAAAATCAATGTAATAGCACTTCAAACATGGGCTGTTACACATTATGGAAAATTAACTTCTTAATTTCAAAAGTTAGCTTGATTTTTTTCAGCTAACCTAAAACAAATGTAAAATATTCTCTGCATATTGGAATTTTTACTTTTTATTTATTTAGGCATTATAGAATCCAGAACTCAAATATAGGCAGTTTGCTCTGTAAGAAATAAAAATAATTTTATTTGGCCAAGAAACTTTACAGGTACATATTATTATTTGAGAGATTTATTTTAAAAGTAATATTTTGACATGTTACTTAATGGGCTAAACCTTTTGATGTTTTCTTCCAGGTTGCTGATTTTGAAAATTTTATTGGATCACTAAATGACCAGGGTTACCTCTTGAAAAAAGGCCCAAAAGTTTACCAGCTTCAAACTATGTAAAAGGACTTCACCAAGTTAGGGCCTCCTGGGTTTATTGCAGATTAAAGCCATCTCAGTGAAGATATGCGTGCACGCACAGACAGACAGACACACACACACACACACACACACACACACACACACACACACACAGTCAAATACTGTTCTCTGAAAAATGATGTCCCAAAAGTATTATAATAGGAAAAAAGCATTAAATATAATAAACTAATTTAAGAAGTGATAAAGTCTCCAGATGCAGTAGCTCACACTGTAATCACAGTGACTCAGGAGGCTGAGGTGAGAGGATTCCTTGAGGCCAGGGTTCGAGACCAACCTTGGGCAACATAGCAAGACCCCATTTCTTAAAAAAAAAAAAAAAAAATTTAAACTTAGCTGGGTATGGTGGCACATGCCTATAGTCTCAGCTACTTGTGAGGCTGAGGCAGGAGGATTCTTTGAGCCCAGGAGTTTGAGGTTACAGTGAGCCACAATCACACCAATCACTGCACTCCAGCCTGGGCAATAAAGTAACTCTTGACTCAAAAAAATAAAAAAAATTGTAGTGGTAGCCATGTGTTAATTGTTAAATAAATTCTCCAAAGGGCTAAAAGTAAATTACTTATAAATTTTTTATAGTTGTATTTTTGACCTGCCTTTTATATGTATGAATATTTCATAGTTTTGCATATCAGATGTAGGCATACAGACAAATACATAAACCAATGAATATATTACATATTCTGTGTTCCAATAAAACTTTATTTATGGACACTAAAATTTGAATTTCATAAAATTTTCCCATGTCAAGAATACAAAATACTTGAGTTTTGTTTTTAGCTATTTAATAATAGGTCTCATTTATTCCACAGGCTGTAGTTTGTAGTCTTGCTTGAAACAATAGAAACAGACTGATTAAGCAGGAGAAGTTTTTTGAAAGAATTTTGTTTGGCTCACGGAATTATTAGAAGGCAGGTGAACCAGGAGGGTAAGCTTCCAGCAGCAATTTGTAAAACCATGCCTTAGAATTGGACTAAGGAAGAAGCTGCTGACACTCCACTGCCACACAGGGCACTGGAAGAAAGTGCTGCTGCCTCCCTGCCCCACCTTTGCCACTTCTGCAGCAGGAATAGGTAGAAGAATGCCCCCACCCGCACCGGAACAGCAACAAAAGGATTCTGCATGAGATGCCTCCCTAAATTGCTGAATTCAAAAAAGAAGTTGCATACAAAGACATCTGATTGAAAAAGGGTATGTTATATGCCCCTTTCATAGGCTGCTAGGGAGTTTTCCTGGTTCTACTTTCAGGTGGTGGGATCAATAAGACCAGAATTTCTCATATGTTGTGAGAGGATTCAAATGTTACAGGGTTGCCAGCCAAACTATCAATCATGTATAAATCCAACAAACACTTTGTAACATACAAGAACTCAGGAAATGTGAACCATTGTTGGAGAATCTACTAAAATACGGCTTCCCGCAAACGAAGATGAATGGAAAATGTAAATAAAAAGAACTGGCAGTGTATATCAGATGTTTAACTATAGGACCAGAACTAAGATGTGGAGACTATTGCCATAGACCACAATGTAAATTTTTAAGTGAGGAAGGAAAAATCAGGAATCAAAAGGGGCCAGGTGCAGTGGCTCACATCTATAATCCCAGAGCTTTGGGAGTTCGAGGCAGGAGGATCACTTGAAGCCAGTTTTGAGACCAGCCTATGCAACACATTGAGACCCTATCTCTACAAAAAATAGATTAGCTGGGCACGGTGGTGCATGCCTATTGTCCTACCTACTGTGGAGGCTGAAGTAGGAAATCACTTGAGCCCGAGAGTTTGAGGTTACAGTGAGCTATGATTATACCACTGCACTCCAGCCTGGGCAAGAGAGCAAGACCTTGTCTCTTAAAGAAAAAAAAAAAAAATGGAGAAAGTAGATAGTAGTATAAATATAGTGAAGTCTTTAAAAGCTAGGAGTTAAAAGATATTTAAAGCAAATAACTCAGGCATGGTGGTGTGTGCCTGTAGTCCCAGCCACTAAGGAGGCTGAGGCAGGAGAATCACTTGAACCCGGGAGGCAGAGGTTGCAGTGAGCCAAGATCGTACCACTGCACTCCAGCCTGGGCAACAGAGTGAGACTCTTTCTCCAAACTAAATAAGAGATATTTAAAGCTGAAAAAAAATCTATTAATAGAATTTAAAACATTTCACAAAAGTCAACACATAAATAATATCAACCAAAATAAAGTGGTAGACAGAAGAGAAAATATACTAATTTATTGTTCAAAGAGGAAAATAAGTCTCAAAGGTTAAGGCTATTATATAAATTTATTTTTAAAAAGACATAAACCTACATTTTCAGAAGAAGAAGTTCCATGTTTCCTTAGATTATGTATTTAGCATCCATTAATCACAGGGCCAAACTAACAACAAAAGTTGTTTAGCTTTCCCTTACAATCCAGCTTTTATGGGTGTGCAAACATCACATTACAGTCCCTCCAACCACAAACCCCAACATATAGTATTTCACTTCCTGCCCAATAGTGGGTGTCCCCACACCTTTCAACCACTGTAGCAACAAAGCTCTGGCCTAGGCTTTTCACTTGCTTCTTTACTGCCTGACTGACTTTGGTGTTTCCTCATGTGGCCTGGTGTGGCATGGCACGCCCTCTTGGGAGATGAAAGTAATCTTCCATAGGCAATTGTTTCTGTGTCACCATTGCTGATTAAAACAAATCCTAAGTACAAATGTCAGAACAGAAACATGCAAAGCAAGAAAACATTACATCATGAAAGTTTCTTTTTTTTTCTTTTTTCTTTTTTTTTTTTTTTTGAGACAGAGTTTTGCTCTTTTTGCTCAGGCTGGAGTACAGTGGCGCGATCTTGGTTCACCGCAACCTCCGCCTCCTGGGTTCAAGCGTTTCTCCTGCCTCAGCCTCCCAAGTAGCTGGGATTATAGGCATGTGCCACCATGGCTAATTTTGTATTTTTAGTAGAGACGGGGTTTCTCCATGTTGGTGAGGCTGGTTTTTAACTCCCGAACTCAGGTGATTGCCTGCCTCGGTCTCCCAAAAAGTGCCGGGATTACAGGCGTGAGCCATTGTGCCCAGCCAAAAGTTTCTTTTTCAAGAGATGGTGGTCTTGCCATGTTGTCCAGTATGGACTTGAACTACTCAGCTCAAGCAGTCCTCCCACCTCAGCCTCCTGAATAGCTGAGACTACAGGCATGCACCACTACACCTGGCTGCGAGATGAAATTTTAAGAGATGGGGGTCTTGTTCTGTCGCCCAGGCTGGAGTGCAGTGACATGATCAAGCCGTGATCTCCTGGGCTCAAGCAATCCTCCTACCTCAGCCTCCTGAGTAGCTGGAACTACAGGAATGCAACACCATGCCCAGCTAATTTTGATTTTTAGTAGAGATGAGGTCTTCCTTTGTTGCCCAAGCTGGTCTCAAACTCCAGGGCTTCCTGAGTAGCTGAGACTACAGGTGTGAGCCACCATGCCCAGCCTCCTCTCTTTTCCAATATTGTGTTAAGTAAATTGTATTGGTGGTAATCAACTTGATCATTTCATTTTTAGGATAGAGATATCAAGGTGAGGGTATAACTGAACGAGAAGAGGAATAAACACCACCCTGTGATTGATGGATCTTTATAGCTCTCCTTTGATAAAGAAGGGAAATATCGTACTTACATTAGCATGTTATAGTTGCTGTTGTTATACAGAAGAATATTAAACAATATTCATATATTGTTTATGAATGCATTGAATTCATAAACAATGGTATGGATATTGACTAGCCAAAGAGGTGGATAAATGTAGATACAATGATACGGTGATTTGGTATTCAGTGTCCATTCTGCTCTCCTAGTGTGCCTTCCTATAATGCAGGGGCTGGAAGGTGAGAAAATAACCACATTTCCCAGACTCCCTTTGCAGGTAGATTTCCAGATGTGAATTGGGTTCCACTGATCAGACACCCATGTGTGAGATTTGGAATGCAGAACTGAGGAGAGAGCCATCTTCCTCTTGCTTGTGTTCTGGTGGCATGTGTGGTTGAGGAGACATTTAATTTCCCTGCAGCAGAATTCTTGCAGTCAGTTGTTGAGGCAAGTGGCGTGGTGGATGCAACCCTGATTCTTCACCTTTCTCATTATTGTGGGGTAGCAGCGCCTCTGGCAAGCCAGACAGACCTGCAGTGTTTTTCTGGGAGTTAATTCTGGAGACCCAGTATGGAACCCACTCCTAGCCCTTGTGACAATATTGCAAGCATCCAGTTCCCTGTTTTACAGTCCTTTTAAATGTGGCTAGCTACAGTAGTTTGTGTTTCCTGCAACTAATCACTCATACATCTGTATCTAAAGCACTCCACCTGGGTCATGTACTATACTTAAAATTATAAGGCAATATTAATTCACAAAACTACCTACTCGTTTTATTTAACCCTCAGAAGAACTGAAAACAAAAGCTATACCAGGCTTGCTCTAGAGCGTGGGCTTGGGAATGGAAAGGCAGAGTGCACCTATTGAATTCCATCATCAGTTTTTCTATACCATGGAGTTACTTACCATGTGTATACATAACACTGATTAAAAATTTTAAAAAAAAGGTTAAAACAAAAACTGAGCCAGATTCTGACATTTAAATCAGAATTATTCTTAGTACATAGACTTGCAAAGTCACTGAATAATTCCTTGGGACTACAGACTCTTAGTCTTTGCTTCTAGAAATGTATAGTAATTTCAACATGTCATATATATAGAGAGAGTATATATGTGTATATATATACACACACACACACACTATATAGAGTATATATATACACTCCATATACAGTATATATACTAGTGTGTATATATATATACACTAGAGTATACACACTCTAGAGTATACACTCTATAAAGTATATATATTATATATACTATATATTATATATACTATATACTCTACAGTATATATATACACTATAGAGTGTATATATATACTATACAGATATGTATAGAGTATATATACTCTATATATACACTATATATAGTCTATATACTCTAGAGAGTACAGTATATATATATAGTGTATATATACTCTATGGAGTGTATATATATTCTCTTTCTCTCCATATATATATATATAGTAATCAGCTTCCTCAGGTTGAAACATCTAGATATATTGAAAACACTGGATAGTCTGCAAACTCCTCTTCCTTAGAGAATGTATATTATCTTTAGTATTAAAGTGACTCTTGTAAGTCCTGAGAAACACCTCGGAACACTGCATTCACGTGTTTGCTAGGCAGAATAGTACCCACCCTGCAAGACATCACATCCTAATGCCCAGAACCTGTGAATGTGTTAGGTTACATAGCAAGGGGAAATTAAGATGGCTAATCAGGTGACCTTAAAATAGGGAGATCATCTTGGATTATCTGCATGGGTCCAATATAATTAGAAAGAACCTTTAAAGTGGAAGAGGGAGGCAGAAGAGAGCCAGAGGAAGATGTGACTACAGAAGAAGGCACGGATGCAGCATTGCTGGCTTTGCAGATGAGGGAAGGAGGCCTTCAGCCAAGGACTGTGGGTGGCTCTAGAATCTTTTTTTACATCTCAGTATGTATGCCACAGTTAAGGTTTTTGTTTTTTTATTTTTGAGATGGAGTTTCGCTCTGTCATCCATGCTGGAGTGCAATGGTGAGATCTCGACTCACTGCAACTTCCGCCGCCGGGGTTCAAGCAATTCTCCTGTCTCAGCCTGAGTAACTGAGATTACAGGTGCGTGCCATCATGCCCGGCTAATTTTTGTATTTTTAGTAGAGACGAGGTTTCACCATATTGATCAGGCTGGTCTCGAACTCCTGACCTCAGGTGATCCGCCCACCTCGGCCTCCCAAAGTGCTAGGATTACAGGTGTGAGCCACTGTGCCCAGCCTCACAGTTAAGGTTTTTAAACAATCTGATTTAACTGAATAAAAAATGCTCGCTTGTGTGGCGACATGGTTTTTAAAAATGTAAACAGAGCTGGGCATGGTGGCTCACATCTGTAATCTCAGCACTTTGGGAGGCCAAGGCAAGAGAACTGTTGAAGGTCAGGAGTTGGAGACCAACCAGCCCAGGGAATATATAGGGAGACCCTATCTCTTAAAAAAAAAAAAAATTACCTGGGCATGGTGGCATATGCCTGTGGTTCCAGCTACTCAGGAGGCTGAGGCAGTAGGATTGCTTGAGCCCAGGAGTTTGAGGCTGCACTGAGCCGTGATCACACCACTGCATTCCAGACTAGGTACAGAGCGAGTCTATGTGGAGTGCAATGTCTCTAAAAAAAAAAAAATACCCAAAATATAAACAGGGACTATGAGGTATGTACAGGAAATTAATAGCTGAAGAATATTTTACCATGTTCAAAAACTAAATTCTTCATGTGGCTGAGAGAAGAAAGAAAAAAATGGTATGTTTGTGTTCCATTTGCAGGTATTACATAAACCCATTTTAAATGAACTAAAATGCCTAGGATTTGGGGGGGAAAAATTATCTTGTGCTCGCATTTGAAGGTTCTTCTCAGAAATAAACTGTTTAAAGAGACCACAGTACTGGTTTAATTTTTTTTCTGCAGGACCAGAGGGAAACAGGTGGTTTACCATTTTTGGAAACTCTGTCACATGATCTGAATAGAAAGGATAGTTGGATGTAACGTTAAAGCTTTCTGAACCAGCAATCCCCAACCTTTTTGGCAACAGGGACTGGTTTCAAGGAAGACAGTTTTCCACGGACCTGGATGGGGGAATGTTTCGGGATGAAACTTCCACCTCAAGTCATCATTAGTTAGATTCTCATAAGGAACGCACAACTTAGATTCTTCGCATGTGCAGTTCACAGTAGGGTTCACCCTCCCATGAGAATCGAATGCGCTGCTGACCTGGCAGGAAGCAGAGCTCAGGTGGTGATGCTCGCTTGCCTGCCGCTCGCCTCCTGCTGTGTGGCCTGGTTCCTAACAGGCCATGGATTGGTACTGGTCCACAGCCCAGGGGTTGGGGACCCCTGTAACAAAAGGAAAACAAGATTCTTAAATCTTTACAGGAAGGAGGAATGGAATGGAAAATAAAGCTAGTTGTACACTAAATGATGTTAACAATCCCTTTATCACCTTTAAAATATGAGCAGAGAGGAAAGAAATATTAAAACCAACCCTTTTTACTTTCTTATTTGTAGATAATGCCTGCCTTACGAGAATGTTATTTCTTTTAAAGGTTCCAAAACAACCATATAAAAACTTAGTAATGACTTAATTGTTCACATATTCTAGTGACATCAGTACATTTTCAGGAAGAAATGTGGAAAGGTTGGCACTAGAAGTTGACATAAGAATTAGTTTAGCCAGGTGCAGTGGCACATGCCTGTAGTCCCAGCTACACAGGAGGCTGAGGCAGGAGGATTGCTTGAAGCCAGGAATTCTGGGCTATTATAGTGTGCTATGCTGACTGGGTGTCCACACTAAGTTCGGCATCAACATGTTGATCTGGGAGTGGTGGACCACCAGGTTTCCTAAGGAGGGATGAACCTGCCCAGGCCAGAAATGGAGCAGGTCAAAATTCCCGTCCTGGTCAGTAGTGGGATCGCCCCGTGAAAAGCCACGGCATTCTAGCCTGGGCAACATAGTAAGACCCTGTCTCTTACATAAAAAATAAAATAACAAAAATGAAAAGGAGAATTAGTTTAGATCTCTTGATAATTTAAACAGTAATCTAAATTATAGAGTTTAGGTGGAGTTAATCTCTGCAAGTCCTGAGGAGCTATGCCCAAGGTGCTTGGCCCTACCAGCAATGCACTCTTTTGCTTACATGTGTTTCAAATCTTAAATCCCATCATTTAGTTTTTTCCTATTTAGGCTGTGGGACGGTGCGTTTATTACAATGATTGAAACCTGTGCCTTATTTGGATTACTGGTTATTCAAAACACATCTTTGGGTTTAGTGCCTGGTAATTACAGCTTACTCCTGTAAGATTTAACTGTCATTGATTCCTAGAGAATTTTTTTTGAGACAAGGCCTCGGTGGGTCACCCAGGCTGGATGGAGTGCAGGGGCACAATCTCGGCTCACTGCAACTTCTGCCTCCCTGGGCTCAAGCGATCTTCCCACTTCAGCCTCCTGAGTAGCTGGTACCACAGGCACCCACCATCATGCCCAGGTTTATTTTTGTATTTTTGGTAGAGATGGCGGGCGGGGGGAGCCGGGGGGTACGGTGTGCGGGGCAGGGGGGTGGGGGGGTGGTCCTCACAGTGCCCAGGCTGGTTTCGAACTCCTGAGTTCAAGCAGTCCACCCACCTCGGCCTCCCAAAGTGCTGGGATTACAGGTATCAGCCACCATATCCAGCTGTTTTAATTTGATTTAACTTCCAATCAATATTTACATAAGACTCATTTGCAAAACTGCCTTCTTTACATTATCTTCTTCTGGTTTTAGGAAACAAAAAGTAGCCCAAGTTTATTGTGTCCTAGACTAAATAACACAAGTAACACTACATTACACTGCATATCTGATATAAGAACGCAGTACACATATTTCTAGACTTTGTTCATTTATCCCCAGGCAGAAAATATTCATAATAGATTTGGAATAAGATTTTCTTCTCAAAAAGCTTAAACTTCAAATAGAAGTGATAAGTGAGAAAGAATGATTGGGTTGCAGAATTTTCAAAAGCCTAAAAACAGCCTGGGCATGGTGGCTCACACCTGTAATCCCAGCACTTTGGGAGGCCGAGGTGGGCAGATTACTTGAGGTTGGGAGTTCCAGACCAGCCTGACCAACATGGTGAAATCCTGTCTCTACTAAAAACATAGGAGTTAGCAGGGCGTGGTGGCATGCGCTTGTAATCCCAGCTGCTTGGGAGGCTGAGGCAGGAGAATCGCTTGAACCTGGGAGGCGGAAGTTGCAATGAGCCGAGATAGCGCCATTGCACTCTAGCCTGGGCAAGAACAGGGCGAGGATTCATCTCAAAACAAAACAAAACAAAACAAAAAAACAAAAACAGAAAGCCTAAAAACAGGTTCCAAGAAGTTGTAGCAAAGAGGTAATTTGTTCCAATATACAGCACAGTCATACACAGCACTTTGCAACTTAACCAAGGAAAACATTAAAAGTGGCAAGACAATACTACCCTCTAGGGGCCAAATTTTTATGTTCACAACTCAGCAAAGGATCAATGAAAGGATGAACTAAACAGTTAATAACAGGCCAGTTATTCAAGATTGAACAATCCTTTCTCTTTTCACGTTCTCTTGGGGTAAGCACTACATGATTGACTACAGAAGTTGGGATAAGACACCTGACCAGTACATTTTGGTTACTTATGAAAATAATTCTGATACAAGGGTGGAGAGAGAAAAATTTGAAATGAACTTCATGAAACGTAGAATTTATATATAGATTTTTATTTATATTTTTATTACAGACTTACTATTCTAATTTTTTCCCCATTTGGGAAAAAAGTTCAGTGACAGATATTCCCAGTCCCTTCAGACATATGAGGTGCCTGTGTGTTTAATCTACTTGGATAGAAATTATTACAGAATTCATAAAACAGGAAATGAACATTATAAACCAGTTACTAACTGTAGAATATTTTGGTTTCCTCTGCCCCCTGCCCTGCTCTAAACTCTACTTCACTGGGTTTCTGCATTTTCTCCATCCTTTATCCCAGATTAACCTGTTCATTTATTGACTTCTGTCAAGTTCTAGAAAATGAGATCAAAGACTGATAGCTGGATGTTCTCCCGTCTTAAAATGTTAGGGAAACAGTTTGTTAAAAGCATGTTACTCTTTAGTCATAAGTATTGAGCAGTCATTGTCTTTCAGGCCAAAATGCCAGCCACTTTATTTTCCTACTTTTTAAAGACAATTAGCCATCAGCAGTTTGTAGTAGAGCTGGCTTTTTAAATACAAAACAGTTTATTATATTTTAATTGGCGGACTCTATTGTATCTTGGAGTTTTTTTCTCTAATTTTATATTGAAGTGAAAAATAGGAAGAACATAAAATTTGCTACATAGATAATTTTGGGGATGTTCTATTTTAAACATTGATAACAGTATAATTCCATATTTTGAAATATACAAAAAATATATACAACTAAAATGGTATCTAAAACAGAAACCTATGAATGCTAGCTCCAAACAATAAGGCAAATAAGTGAAGAGCTCAGGTAATGGTGTTATTCTTGAGGGCACAAAGCCTGGATAAAACTAGATTACCATAAATAGTAGTACGGAAGTTGAAGAAATCAACACAGTAACTAGAATTAATTTAGAAAAAATTAATAAAAGGTTGGACAAATACCATAAGTAATAGAAATAAAACCTATCAGAGCAACAAAGGGAAAAAACACAAAAACAAGTTTGTGTCCTCAGTGCCAAGGATTAGAGGCAGATGAAGTACAGGCTGAATATAGGGAATAGAAAGAAGTCCCAAGACACAATGAGTGTCTTAGGAAGCGGAGAGTGAATAAAGGCAATCTCATGAAAGGAAGGGAGAGACTGGAATCCTGCCCACTCCCTCTTGCCAGGGTTATCCAGAATTAATGTTTACCTATGAGAACTGTGTTTTTAAATAGTTTTTAAATTTTTTAAAATTTTTACATTGCTGTTGCAGAAGTTTCCATTTTTCTCTCAATGTCAGGATTTCAATGTAAGAAATAGATTTTTTTTGGATAAATACCCGCTGCTTCATCTACAATGTTGCTCACTTTCAGTTGGCCTTTCCCTTTCCTAACTACCCGAATTAAGACTTTAAACTCAACTGTAAGGTAGTTCAGCCATCATAGATGGGGTTAGTGGGGCGATAGTGGAGAGGCGGCAATAATCATTCAAATTCAGTTCAACACTGAATTCAACAAGAAAAAATTCTGTAACATTGCAAATATTGATGTATCAATATGTTTAGTATACTAATCTGAATATATTAATCAGCTAATTAATGGTGAGCTGATTCATAACTGTCTCGGATATTATAGGCAAGTTTCTTAACCTCTCTAAACCTAAGTTTCCTTATCTGTAAAAGTAATAATGGAACCCTCATCTTGCAGTCGTTGGGAGGATTAAACGGGATGATGCACTATAGCCTGGTTATATAGTATAATTGAAACTTTTGTACTAGCAATGTAAAAATTTAAAATAAAAACTATTTAAAAAGACAATTCTCATAGGTAAACATTGATTCTGGATAATATAGTATTACTGTTTTCAGCAAAACAATCAGCCATTGCTATTACTAACATTTACTAATGCTTATATTTTTAGCATATGCATCTTTATTCAATGCTCAAAGAGGAGAGAATTACAGAGCCAATATTTATTAATCATTTCTTCTGCACTAGATACTGTAAACCACCCACAAGAACCGTAGGGCGCCGCACGCACCTTGGAGGGGGCCCTTCTGCCGGCCACCCGCCTCAGAGGGTTTCAGGCCAGGGCCTGAGGTGGCTCCGGCCCCCTCGCGGCTACGTCGGCTGCGCGGTCATCCTATCTTGTTCGTTTCTCCCCTTTCCCCGCCCACCCCCGGGCCTTGGCTCCCGGCTGCGGGCCAGGAGAAGAGAGCGCCGCGTACCCGCTGCTTCCCAAAACCCACTGAGCCTGATGCGCGCGCCTCCGCTGTGCCAGGGGCGCCGGGAAGCCCGACGACGACGGTGTCGTAAAAGCGTCGCGAAGGCGTCCGCCCTTGGCGGCTTCCTGCCACCTGTATAAGTGGAGTGTGCTGGGGTGTGTAAAGTAGTATGGAGGCAGCGGTAGCCCAGTGTCTGAGTGGTTGCCGGGTCTCCATGGAGAAGCGGCTCGCCAGTGTCCCAGGCTGCTGAGCTCTCGCCGCCCGAGACCCCGCGGCGCGGCCGCAGGGCCATGCTAGCCTTGCGCGTGGCGCGCGGCTCGTGGGGGGCCCTGCGCGGCGCCGCTTGGGCTCCGGGAACGCGGCCGAGTAAGCGACGCGCCTGCTGGGCCCTGCTGCCGCCCGTGCCCTGCTGCTTGGGCTGCCTGGCCGAACGCTGGAGGCTGCGTCCGGCCGCTCTTGGCTTGCGGCTGCCCGGGATCGGCCAGCGGAACCACTGTTCGGGCGCGGGGAAGGCGGCTCCCAGGCCAGCGGCCGGAGCGGGCGCCGCTGCCGAAGCCCCGGGCGGCCAGTGGGGCCCGGCGAGCACCCCCAGCCTGGTACGTACCGATGAGGCGGCGGCGGGCCGGCCCTGGGCTGGGGTCGCCGCCCCTGCACTCAGGTAACAAGCTCTGGGTGGTGCAGCTCGGACGCTTCCGTTTCCTAACTTTTAGACTCTTCCCTGAAAAGAAGTTACTGGCAGGTCATTCGGTCGGGATGAATTTCAGGGTCACCAGCGGGGTCCACCTACGGTCTCTGTGGTCAAGTTAGAAATCCTCTCATCCCCCTTCTATCTGCACCCGTTGCTGGAAGGGCCGCCTCTGCATATTGCATTGATAAAGGTAGCCTTCGCTTGTCTTACTAAAAGCCTATTTTTAATTCTTTTGAAGTGAATCCCCAGTGTTTAGGGCAAGTCTTTGGGAATATTTAGAAAGGTATACAGGCCCTTCTGTTTGCTTGTGCAAGTTCCGTTCACCATCATTTGACCTTTGGTAACCTTACACATTATAGGATGAAGGTAATTAAATAATTTAGGTCGTAATTAAAAGATCTTTTAACCTTTAATTATAGAAAAAGATTTAAACTATTCTTGAGGTAACGGAGGGAAGTATTTGTCCACTTACCTGTTGATATGCTACCCAGACAGAAGACACCCGAGCATGAGTGTGGGAGAGCTTTTGATGTCATGTTAGCAAGACTCATGCAATTATTACATCTTCAATTGTTATGTCTTCAGTGGCCCCTGTACTGCTTTCATCAGTTGTACAGCATGGGTTGAGGTGGCCAGATCCTGGCAGGGGTCTCAACTCCACTGATAGCTAAAGCATGTTGGGGTTTGAATGCTGGATACTTTGAAGTTGCCATATCCTGACTGAAGTCCTTCCCAGAACGGCAGTAGTTGGTCGAGTATGCCACAGGTTATCTGGTTGAGTAATCTGAGATTAGCTCTCCTAACATTAACTTTGAAACTTTTACGGATTTAATGATTACAAATTAATGAGACACCTTAACTGAAATATTCTATGTGGAGCTAAAAAGAACTCCCTTCACTGTTCCAGCAACATTGAGTTCTGTTTGTTAATTCGCCAAATGAAATGATGTTTCTGTTTACAACTTTGTCTTTAATTTTGCCCTGTGGATAATTTCTGAAGTTAATTTGGGGACCTTTTTTCTGATCTTTTGCTTACTGCTTTTTTGCAACCGTGTGCAGCCTTCTCCCCTCCCACTCTTCCCTTTGAGTTGCTGTAACCTTTGATCAGTATTTGACTTATTCTCTACCATAGTATGGTCAACAGACTTATCTTTTTTCTTTGGACTCTGAAACACTCTGATATTTGAACTTGAATTTGGGATGTATTCCAAGAATGTTTTCATTGTATAATGTGGATTACTTTCAGTAAAAGATCTCAGAGTAGAGGTTTGTATTGCTTCTTGTTTTGTGATTGCTCTTCGGATAATTTGAAGTTTTTCTATAGCTTTCAATGACAGTATTCTGCCACCTGACCCCAGCAATAACTATTTAATTATCCCTCCAAGCTGAGGTGCTTTCTTGCTGGGTTTCTTTTATAAACACAGACATAGTGTCTTTAGAGAATACTTTTTTTTTTTTTTTTTTACAGGATAGTTCATAGAATTTTAAAAGAATCTTCAGAAATGGAATTTTAAAAGAATCTTCAGAAATGGCCTTTGCCACCTTTTTTACAACCAAAATTAAGATTCAGGCAAGTTGGCTAGTACTGATTAAGAAAGAGGTTAAAAGGGGTTCTAGAGAAGAGAAAGTCCCATGGAGTGGAATTGGCAGTCTTGACACAGCGGAGAAAAAAAATCTAGGCTTCAGGGAAAGGCGTTTTCTTGTTGTTATTTCTGTACCCTGTTGTGCAAGGTGTCTTAGCTCCGCTGGGCCGAGGCTTTTCAAAGCTGAAATATCCTCTCATGAGTCAGATTCTGTTTGGCAAGAAGGGGATGTTCTTCAGACAGCTGCCAAAGAGCTCTTTTGTTAGTGCCAACTTCAAACAGCTTGGCTCCAAATGAGTTGTCTAGGAATTGCAAAGCCCCCAGATGGGAGCTGTGAAAGTCCTTGGTTTTTAGTTGAGGATCTTAACATTTCCATGACTGTTTTGAACAAATTTACACAATTTCTCGATTTCCAAATATCACAATCCCTATTCCTATCTCCATTTTCTTCTAGCAGTTCTCTGACTTAGTGATGAGGTTATAGAATTAAATCTGTTTTTGTTCTCTTCATTCAAACCTCCATACACTCTATATAGCATTTAGCATTCTTTAGATATGTGTAAGGGAGTGAGGGAGATTCTTTGCAGTATTTAAAGCTGAATGCCTGGAGTTGATAATTTGGCCTTTTTTCCTGACACTTTTACTTGTAAGTAGACACTGTTTGTCTATTTACAAGATCTTCCTGAAGTTTCACCTTTAAAAGCAGAGTGTTGAAAGTTCTGAGTTCTTACAATGAAGTTATATATTAAAGGCTTAGCTTATATGGCAGATAATACATGTGTTCTGTCTTCCCTCTCTTAAGAAAACCTATAATAGGCCGGGCATGCTGGCTCACGCCTGTAATCCCAGCACTTTGGGAGGCCGAGGCAGGTGGATCACGAGGTCAGGAGTTTGAGACCAGCCTGGCCAACACAGTGAAACCCCATCTCTACTAAAAATACAAAAATTAGCTGGGCATGGTGGCGGGCACCTGTAATCCCAGCTACTTGGGAGGCTGAGGCAGAAGAATCACTTGAACCCGGGAGGTGGAGGTTGCAGTGAGCCGAGATTGTGCCACTGCACTCCAGCCTGGGCAACAGAACTAGACTCCATCTCAAAAAAAAAAAAAAAAAAAGAGAAAAGGAAACCTATAATATGTAAGACACCTTACCCTGTGTTTCGGTACATGATACATCTTCATCTTTTGTATTCTTTTTTTTTCTTTTTTTAATTAAAAAAAATTGAGATGGGATTCTCTCCATGTTTCCCAGGCTGGTCTCTAATTCCTGGGCTTAAGGGATCCTCCCGCCTCAGCCTCCTGAAGTGCAGGGATTATAGGCGTGAGCCATCATGCCCAGCCATCTTCTGTATTCTTGAAAGAAGATTTTAGGGAGATATCTGTAAAAAGAACAGAATGGATTTTAAAATTCAATTTAATGTACTAAATTTAAAGTTTATGTAGCTTCTGACTGAAGTTGATGAAGTATATTTTTCTAATGTATGTATATAGTTATTCAAAGTATGAATTCATAGTATTTTACTTAAATTTTGTTGTCTTTGTGTTTCAGTATGAAAACCCATGGACAATCCCGAATATGTTGTCAATGACGAGAATTGGCTTGGCCCCAGTTCTGGGCTATTTGATTATTGAAGAAGATTTTAATATTGCACTAGGAGTTTTTGCTTTAGCTGGACTAACAGATTTGGTAAGTTGTAAATGCACTCCCAGTTTGCTCTCCTTCCAAATCCTGGTCTGTACTACTAAACCGAAATAGCATAGCCTTAGCCTGCTTTTCCTTGGGAGGAAAACCTCAAGATGAATTTGACGTGGTACTTTTTGTGAGGACTTTGTCTTTAGCATCTATATGGGATTTTTTTTTTTTTTTTTCATATGATTTCAAGGAGGAAGCGAAAGTTGTAGGGAAGTAAAGGAGGGGATACTTTGTACTCTTGGTTTTTAAGAGTGAAAGAAACACCCTTAGAAATTTCCAAAGAGCTGAGTGCTTGCTTTAGGGATAGAAATAAAGGAGAGGAGATCTGAGATGACTTTTCTATGTATTGTGGTAAAGAGGAATACTCAGATCTGCAAAAAAAAGTTGGTTTTCCTAGTGGAGAGGGAAACTGGACCAGTTGTTATGACCCAGGGAACTGGGATATGACCAGAAGCATGTAGAAGTCATAGCTTTGCTCAGGTTTCATGCTAGCAGAAGGCTGTAGGTACCCCCACAGATTTATTTTCTGATCTCTGCTCTACACCCCTCTGACTGCCCTGCAGAATACTCTGCTCTGGGCTGACAATTGGACGTCCTTCCTTCATTCTCCTCCCTCAGCAGATGGACAAAGAAGAGGAGCTCTCCTTGATACTACATTGTTAGTTTTGATAGAGGAGAGGAGGATTTATTCAGATGATCTCAAATTAGAACTGGAAAATAATTTTATAACAGAAGGCTACATTAAATAGGCTTTTGTGGACTGGCTAGCCATCATCATGTATGACATTATTTGTATTACCAACTTTATTTCAAAAAAGTTTCGAAATGCATTATAAAACTGGCTGGACACAGTGGCTTACACTTGTAATTCCAGTGCTTTGAGAGGTCAGGAGTTTGAGATCAACCTGCACAACATAGCAAGAGCCTATCTCTACAAAAAATTTAAAAATTAGCTGGGCATGGTGGCATACGCCTGCAGTCCTAGGTACTCAGGAGGCTGAGGCAGGAGGATTGCTTGAGCTCAGGAGTTCAAGGCTGCAGTGAGCTATGATCGCACCACTGTACTCTAGCCTGGGTGACAGAGCAAGAACTTGTCTCTTAAAAAAAAAAAAAGGAAAAACTTCATGCTGTATAAAAACATAGTTGAGGGAAGTGTGGAAAAGATGGAGGAATAATTTTAAACCAGGGCAGAGTTAGCAGGAGAAATAGATACATTATATTCTTGTACAAGGTTGGTCTGAGATCTATATGAGCATCCAGACAGGCGGTGCTTTGGTGCCTCTTCAAACTAATTTATGTTTGAAAAGCTTTGCTCAATATTTATTGAGTGAGAATCGAGAGAAACTAGTTTTATATTAATAAAAGTTGTATGCCGTCTTTCTTTGTAACATCAGCTGTTCTCTTCGAGGTTCATAGAAACAAAATTCCACCTTCCTAGTAGCAGTAGCATTGGTGGGCAACATAAAATTAACAGAAGATTTTGGAGTGCAGACAAAAGAGAGCATTTGCATTGTTACATGGCATTTCCAAACCTGCTTCAAACATAGCCTCCCAAATTGGCTTTACCTCTCTTTTTCCAGAGTTTAGCGTCTACTAATATTTGTCACTACCTCTTCCCATTCTCACAATCTTTCTCCTTTTCTTTTGTCCCTGCTTTTTTTTTTTTTTTTTTTTTTTTTTTTTTTTTTGGGGAGACTGACTCTGTCGCCCAGGCTGGAGTGCAGTGGCGTGATGTCGGCTCACTGCAGCCTCTGCCTCTTGGGTTCCAGCAGTTCTCCTGCCTCAGCCTCCTGGGTAGCTGGGATTACTGGCATGCACCACCATGCCTGGCTAATTTTTGTATTTTTAGTAGATATGGGGTTTCATCATGTTGGCCAGGCTGGTCTCGAGCTCCTGACCTCAGGTAATCCACCCACCTCGGCCTCCCTCGGCCTGGGATTACAGGTGTGAGCCACCACACCTGGCCTGTCCCTTCTTTTATCCCAAAGCCTGCATTCATTGTTAATATTATCTCCAAGTCTGTCAAAGGCCATTATACTGATAACAGTTTTTTTTTAACATAACAGACAAGATCTTTTTCAGTTACTGTAGTCTCCTTTTTTGTCTGCTACGTTTTTTTTTTTCTTGTAAGCTGCCACATGAGATTGCAGTATTCATTGAATGTTAGAGAGGCCCCATTAACATTTTACTAAATATATAAGATGATGTTTGTGGAAACCTAAGTTAACTGGTGCCACATTTCACATTTGTTCCATGGAGATTTTAGTGCCTTTCAATTGGCCACTGGGAGGTGGTCGGACTCATCAGTTTAAGCCAGGGAACGACAAAGTCTGATTGCGTTGTGTGTGGAAAATGGATTATAGACAGCTAAGAGTGGAAGCTGAGTAAGTGGTTAGGGGGCTGACCATGATCCAGCAAGAGTGGAAGCAGAGTAACTGGTTAGGGGCTGGCCGTGTTCCATGGCAGCCGTGGTGGGAGCTTAGACTGGGGTTGGAGTTTGGAGTTGGAGAGAAGTGTGTGGGTTTGAGATATATTTTAAAGACAGAAGTAATATGTGGATGGATTAGATATGGAGTGAGAGTGGGAGGAGTCAAATATGAATACTAGGGACTTACTTTAAAAAAAAAATTCTCTTCTAAAACCAGGTTCATGGAAATGACATTTTCTGTGATGGGCAACACTTGAGTAGGGCAGAGTTTAAGGGAGAATACTAAGAATTCTGTTGCCTATCCACATAGAAGTATCAGTTGGGCAGTTTAGTAGTTTGGAGTTGGAGGAAGTCATCGTTACAGAGAGAGAAATTTGGGAGCTGTCAGATATAGATGGTTGGATCTGGGTAAAATCATCCAGGCTGAGGTAACAGGAATGAAGGGTCAGAGAAATGAGCAACAAGTAAAGCACCAGAAAAGAAGCCAGTCAGGAACCCTGGGAAGGAATAGCTGGCGAGGAAGAAAATTAGGCAGTGAGATTTCCCAGAAAGTGGAGAAAGTGCTTCAGTTGTGTCGAGGTCAGGTACTCTAAAAATGCGGAGTTCCTTGGTGACCTTTATGAGCCTCACCTCTGGAGGGGTGGGGACGATTGGAGTGGGTCGATGAACACATGTGAGATGGTAATGACATTGGACGTTCCTTTGAAGCAGTTTTGCTTTGTAGGGGGATAGAGAAATAGGATCACAGAAGGGTCTTTTAAAAAGATATATACTGGGGAATTATATCTATGTGTATATAGATAGATAGATATAAAATCCTATATATAAAAATATATGCTGGAGTATATGTATATACTGGGGAATTTTTGTTTGGCCTTTTTTTTTTTTTTTTTGAGATAAATCTCGTGTTGCCCAGGTTGGCCTTGAACTCCTGGCTTCAAACGATCCTCCCACCTCAGCCTTCCAAGTAGCTGGGACTATAGGTGTGCCACTGTGCCCAGTGAATTTTTGTTGTTAGTTAACTGATTAATTAAATGATCAGGTAGAAAGATTAAATGAAAGGGAGAGATGGATGATGCAAGGGGAGATGGGGAAGAAGGGAGGCAGGTCACAGAAGGTGAGAGGGCATGGGAACGGATGAAGGAAGGCAGAGAGAATGAATGGATGCAGGTAGGTGGGGGATTTGATGATGGGAATATGAGGATGGGCTGACTACGGTTTTCTTTTTCCTTAAGGAAAATACAGACATGACCATGAGCGAGAGGGATGGAGTTAGGTCTGAGGTGAGAGCAGAGACAGTGTGGAAGAGACAGTGTGAAAAGAGAGGGTAAATATGGTAAACAAGTGTGGGATTGCTAGGCAGTATTGGGTGCCCATGGGAGATTTGTGGTCATCAGTTTGAAGTGAGACCAGTCTTCCCATTTGTGTGTTTTCCTTAAGCACTATTCAGCTCTTAGGTGCAGGCCCAGAGTACATGGAGAGTTGCTTTTAAGCAGTGTTGAAGGAGAGTGGAGTGAAGGGGAGTTACAGATGTTTATAAAGGAATGATGTTGATGACCTTGGAATCTAGTGTGGATTAGAGGAATAGTGAAGATGAGAGGGTGATGATGGCGAAAAAGTGAAAGGTTAAGTTCCCTGAGGTCAGAAACTGAACTAAACCTGATCTTCCAAGGTCCCAGCTCCCCAGGCTAGGTACTTTTCTGTTCGTATGCTTAAGAAGGAAATAGATTTTTTCAGTTGCAATAGCAATAGCTAGTAACTGCTTTTTTTGAGGATTTACTAAGTGCTGAGTGCTGAACAAGTATTAATCACATTGTGTGCTGAAGACAACCACCCCTTTGAGGTAGGTAATTTATCTCTGTTTTACAGATGAGGAAACTAAGGCTTAGTCAGGCCAAATAACTTATCCAAGATCACACAGCTACTAAGTGGCAGAGCCAGGACTTGAACAGCTTCTGTTCTGCTACAAAGACCACATTTTTTTTTACCACGGTCCTGGACTACCGCTGTCTCCTCTAACTCATTGGAATACTTGAGATATGGACAACTTACTTGTTCTTTAAAATGAACCATGATTAATTGCGTCTAAATTAATCTTTTTTCCCCTTAGAAATAGTATTAGAGAACTCAAACATTTGTTGAAACTTGAAGTTAAATGAGTAAAAGCCAGGAAGGGACTTGGATAAACCAGAAAATATCTGCCTTGTTTAATGTGAATAGACAGTACTTGATTTCAGTCCATTTTGTGGCCCCAGAGTGGCCAGACCGCTCCCTTCTCAAGTTAGGATGGAGACCTGGGTTTTTATGGGAAGAATTGAATACTTACATGTTGATAACTAATTACAGTTTTTAAAAGCTCTGATAGGTCAAACAGAACCAGCTTACAGGCTCCATTTGGCCCACTAGCAACTAGATGTGACTTATGCTTTAAATGGTTTATTTTTAATCACAATAATATAAAAATAAATAATTTAAGTATCAGAATTTTAACTAGGCCAGGTAGAGAGGATTGAGTTTTCTATTCAAATGTAGGTAATGCAGATACAGTCAGAGTATGGAATAAACAGTGGTATTGAGCAAAATGAGTTGAAAAACAGAAAAATGGTAAGTTTTAACAGAGTTGGATTATATTATCCTAGTCCAGGCTCTGCCGTTCATGCTTTCTTTGAGTTTTCTTTGGGTTCTTTATAGCTGTAAATACATCACTAACCGTATCTCTAAATGTGTATTTGGGTTCATCCCACAAAGGGGCCTTGTGAAAATACCGAGAAATAACCAGAAGGACTTGAGGGGGAAAGAAAATAAATGTGCATTTATTTTAAGACCAGTTGCTAATTTAAAAGCGAAATGTATACCAGCAAAAGAATGAGAATGTTTGGGGGTAAGAAACAGAAGACATTTTGTTAACATTTTATGAGAGTATAATTGTTATTCTGGTATATCTTAAGCTTCAGAATATCTGCTTTGTTCCTGTTATGACATTTATATATATAAAAAAAAACTTCTATTTTCAGTTGGATGGATTTATTGCTCGAAACTGGGCCAATCAAAGATCAGCTTTGGGAAGTGCTCTTGATCCACTTGCTGATAAAATACTTATCAGTATCTTATATGTTAGCTTGACCTATGCAGATCTTATTCCAGGTAAGAACGCGTCATGCGTACTTTTGAATAGCACAGGGAAGAATGACATTAGTCAGCTTAGGATTTCTCTTGAGAGACAAATAATTTTTGTTCCAAAAATATAGTTTTCAACTTTAAACTGTTTCCCTAATTTTAAACTGTTGAACTGTTTTGTCAAACTACTTGTGGATTTTAGAATTTATGTCCTTGTTTTACTAGTAAAATCAGTTGCTTTCCTAGTAAGATTGTTTAAAATTAAAATTGAATAAATATTTCACAGTGCCAATTCATATTACTCTGAAATTTTTTGGTGATACATTATGTATTTTTAGTGCCTAGCTTTTCAAAAGCAATTTAGTTTTCCTACGTTTATTATCTTTATTAATATCGTTTAATCATAAGTGAGAACTCTGAAATTCTGAAGATGTCTATAAAATTTCACATTATGTAGACCCTATTATGCAATTTTTAAATCATATATATAGTTTGTACATTATATGAATACTTTTTCTGATAAGATTTCATGATTTTTTTGCTTTGTATTTTGCATGTGCTTTTCTGATTGTTCATTTTCTTCTTCAGTCGTATTTCTCAGTTTTTCTCCCTCAGACCAAGTTAAACTGTTTTTTTCCCAAGAGCTAGGAATCATATCTGATCACACTGGGACTTCCCTTCACTGTCAGTCTAAGAGTTTGCATTTTTGAGGTTTAGGAAAAGGGAAAAAAAAGGAAGAAAGAAAGAAATTGTATCTGAGAACAAAGAAGCTGCCACATGGTCCCTCGGTATCATGTTATTATTGACACTTGGTAGAAAGAAGTATAGTGGCATTTCAGTCTAGTCTCCCCCAACTGGAAATTATTTTTCTTTCTGATTTTTAGTCTTTTAAGTTCTCGTACCAAAATAAAAAATAAATTGGACTAATGTTTACTTTTATGTGCTTCTTTGAAAGTTAGAATTGAGGTGTGTATGTGATTGGGGAATGGGGGTGTGTGTGTGTGTGTGTGTGAGTTTTCTTGCCTAGGCTGGTCTCGAACTTCTGGGATCAAGTGATCCTCCCACCTCGGCCTCCCAAAGTGATGGGACTATTGGCTTGAATCACCTTGCTTGGCCCCTGCCATTTTTTCAAAGTTACATTGTATTTTGATGTAGTATTTTACAAAGGTTGGCCAGTCATTTTGCTATTGAACATAGAAATTGTTTCCAGGTTTTTTGGAATTATGGGTAATGTTGCTGTGAGTTTTACTTATATGATTGGTGTAGGTTGCTTTCCAAGCTGAGACTTCCCTTCACTGGCAATCTTAGAGTTTCCATTTTCTTTCTTCTGTGTTGAGTCTGTTTTTCCAGGCTCCCATGTCTTCCTTTGCTTTAAGTTACTCCTTTTCTCCAGTTGTTTTCTGTAGAAGGATGGAGTGTGGCAGCCAGATTTTTAGAGGTCTTAGACATCTCAGTGTCTCTATTTTGTCTTCCATACATGATTGACAGTTGAAGTAGGCATCACTTTTTTTTATCTTTTATCTTTTTTTCTTTTCTTTTTCTTTTTGAGACAGGGTCTCACTCTGTGACCCAGGCTGGAGTGCAGTGGTGCAATCTCAGCTCATTGCAGCCTTAACCTCCCAGCTCAAGCAGTCCTCTGACCTCAGCCTCCCAAGAACCTACCACCATGTGCATCACCACGCCTGGCTAATATTTGTACTTTTTGTAGATATAGGGTTTTACCACGTTGCCCAGGCTGGAGGCATAATTTTTAAACTGCAGATGATTTTAATTCAGAATTGTGAAGACCCTCTTCCATAGACTTGGAGATTCCAACTTGCTACGGAACAGTCTCTTATCATTTGGATACCTTTTCCTTTACATGGGATTGTGTTTAGTATTGGAAAGCTTTTAGGATTTTAAGAAAATGTGATTCCTAATTGATGTTTTCTTTAAAAAGTTATCTCTCTTAATTCATTTTCTAATGCTTATATGGCTACCCAGTTATCCTAGCACTTTTTATAGAAAAATTTGTATTTTTCAGACTCAGTGCAAGGTAATTTCTAAGTTGTTTTCTTCCCCATTGTTTGTCTGTCTTTGCATCAGTGGCATTCTTCTTATTGCTTTGCTAAAAGTCTTGATATCCAGTAGAGTGAGTCCTTCCACCTTGGACATTCTTAGCCCTTTCCATTTGTTTCCATTTGTTACAAATTTTAGAATCAGCTTTTCTAAGAATCAGCAATTTTCCAGAGAAAAATCTGTTTGGATTTTGATTGGGATTGCAATGAACTTATGATCTGTTTGGAGGAATTTGCATCTTTACAATGTTAAGTCTTCCAGTCCAGTATCTACTCCATTGAGGTCTGCTTTAATATCTCTCAAAGTTTTATAGTTCTCTCCAGAAAGATAATAAACACTTTTGTTAGACTTATTCCTAAGTACATGATAGTTCTTGGTGCTTTTATAAATGGTAGCTTTTAAATTTCATTTTCTGGCCGGGCACAATGGCTTGCCCCTGTAATCGCAGCACTTTGGGGGGCTGAGGTGGGCGGATCACTTGAGATTAGGAGTTCAAGAGTAGCCTGGCCAACATGGCGAAACCCTGTCTACTAAAAATACAACAATTAGCCATATGTGGTGGCACGTGCCTGTAATCCCAGCTACTCAGGAGGCTGAGGCATGAGAATATCTTGAACCTGGGAGGCAGAGGTTGCAATGAGCCGAGATTATACCACTGCACTCCAGCCCGAGTGATGGAGTGAGACTCTGTCCTCAAAAAAAAAAAAAAAAAAAAATTATTTTCTTATAACTCCATGTTGATATGAAAAAATCAGTACTGTTTCTAATGTTGATTGTTATGTCTAGCGAAACTTGCTAACTTGTATTCTAACAATATACATATAAATTTGCTTGGATTTTTTACATGCTTATTTATGTCTTGTATGTAATTAATGACAACGTATTTCTTCTTTTCCAGTCCTTTTACCCTTTGTTTCTTTTACTTGCCTTACTGCACTGAGTAGTACAGTGTTGGCAAGGAGTGGTGTCAATGTCTTATTCCCAACCTCATAGAAAAGCCTTTAGCGTTTCACTATTAAAGATGATGTTTGCTGTTGGTTTTTGTCAGTATCCTTTTTCAAGTTAAGAAGTTCACTTCTGTTGGGAGTTTAAGAGTTTTTCTCACAATTGGGTACTGAATTTTTTTGTGTTTTTTGTAGAGATGCGGTTTTGCTATGTTGCTCATGCTGATCTTGAACTCTTGGCCTCCCAAAGTTCTGGGATTATAAGCATAAGCCACCACCCCTGGCCTGGATATTAAATTTTATCAAACTCCTTTTGTGTATTCCTATGGTCATATCATTTTTCCCTTTAGCTGTTCATGTGTGGTGAATTACACATATTAATGCAATATTAGTTCTAATGTTAAAACAAGCTGCAATTCCTGGTATAAATCCAACATTGCCATGATATATTATGAAGAGATTGCTGGATTTGGCTTGCTAATATTTTGTGGAAGATTTCAAATTTTAATTCATGAGATTGGCTTGGAATTCTTCATATATTCTTGTTAGGTTTTCATATCAAATTTATAACTAGCCTCATAAAATGAATTGGGGACTTTTTTTTTTCTTCCATTCTTGGAAGATGTTTGATTATGAATATTTCTACTTAAATGTTTGGTAGAATCTGTTAAAGCCGTTGAGGCCTGGAGTTTTCTTTAGGGCAGAGTTTTAAAATAGGTAATTCATTTTCTTTAATTGTTACGGGATGATTCAGGTTTAAAGTACATCTTTTTTTTTAACCTTCAACCAACTCACTCCATATTACACCTTTTGACCAGTTTTTAAGTTGTGATGTTTTTCTAGGAATTTGTCCATTTGGTCTACATTATAAAAAATGTATCATACGGTGTTTATGGTATCCTCATTAACTTTATTTATTTACTTACTACTCCTTGTGGAGCAGGGCTACCCTATAGGCAGTGGGCCCAGAATAGCTCTCATTAACCTTTTGATGTCTGTAGGATATGTAGTAATGTCCTCCTTTTCCTCTTGATTATTTTTTGTCCCTTTTTTTTTTTTTTTTTTCATCTTTTTTGCCAGAGGTTTGTCAGTTTTATGAATCTTTTGAAAGAATCAGCTTTGGGTTTTGTCAAGCCTCTCTGATCTGTTGTTTACTACTTCATTACATCTTGTAGTTTTATTTTTTTTCTTCTTCAGGTTTTCTTTGCTGTTCTTTTTCGAAATTCTTTTTTTTTTTTTTTTTTTGAGTGCAGTGGCATGATCTCAGCTCACTGCAACCTCTGCCTCCTGGGTTCATGTGATTCTCCTGCCTCAGCCTCCTGAGTAGCTAGGATTACAGGTGTGTGCCACCATACTTGGCTAGTTTTTTTGTATTTTTAGTAGAGACGGAGTTTCACCATGTTGGCCAGGCTGGCCTCGAACTCCTCACCTCAGGTGATCCTGAAGTGATCCTGACCTTAGGTGCCTCTACCTCTCAAAGTGCTGGGATTACAGGTGTGAGCCACCATGCCTGGCTCTAAATTCTTTAGATCAATTCTGTCTAGAAATAAAATGAAGATTCTTATGTAATTAAAAATTTTTAGTAGTTTTTAAAAAAGGAAACATGAAAATTGATATATTTTAAGTAATCCACTATATCAAAAATATTGTCATTTTAACATGTAATCAATAAATTAATGAGAATTTTTTTCCTATACGCCTTCATAGTCTAGTGTGTGTTTTGAGCAGTGCAGCTATAAGTGGATACCTAACTTGTTTTTCAGCTTTTCTTTTCTAAAGATTGCATATAAGACTGTATATGTTCCTCTAAGTGTCACTTTCATTGCATCTCCTATGTTGGTTTTAGTGTGTCATTGTCCAGTATACAATATTTTCCTATTTCCATTATTATTCTTTCATTGACCTGTTAGGTTAAAAATAAATATATCTTAATTTGTTGCCATTTTTGTGGGGATTTTTTTAGTTACCTTTTTGTTACAATTTCAGTCATAATAACCTTGTGTTCAGAGAACATGCTCTGTGATTTCAGCCTTTCAGCCCACTACTGTCAGATTTTATAAATATTCCATGAATACTTGAAATGAATTGAAATGAATGTATATTCTGCAGTTCTTGGGTATGATGTTCTTCATAGGTCTATTAGATCAAGTTTTTAATCCTGCTTTTTTTTTTTTTGAGACGGAGTCTTGCTCTGTCGCCCAGGCTGGAGTGCAGTGGCGCAATCTTGGCTCACTGCAAGCTCTGCCTCCTGGGTTCACGCCATTCTCCTACCTCAGCCTCCCGAGTAGCTGGGACTACAGGTGCCTGCCACCACGCCCGGCTAATTTTTTGTATTTTTTTTTTTTTTTAGTAGAGGCGGGGTTTCACTGTGTTAGCCAGGATGGTCTCGATCTCCTGACCTCATGATCCGCCCTCCTCTGCCTCCCGAAGTGCTGGGATTACAGGCGTGAGCCACCGCGCCCGGCCTAATCCTGCTTTTTAAGTCTTCTCTTTCTTCACTGACTGTTCTTTTGCTTTTGGTTTGTTCAGCAGTTAGAGTTTCCTACTGTATGTCTGGTTCTCCAGTATTTGTCTCTGTAGTTGTGATTTTGTTTTGTATCTTTTTTTTTTTTTTTTTTTGAGACGGAGTCTCGCTCTGTCTCCCAGGCTAGAGTCCCATGGCACCATCTCGGCTCACTGCAGCCTCTGCCACCTGGGTCCAAGTGATTCTCCTACCTCAGTCTCCTGACTAGCTGGAATTACAGGTGCGTGCCACCATGCCCTGCTAATTTTTGTATTTTTAGTAGAGACGGGGTTTCACCATGTTGGCCAGGCTGGTCTTGAACCCCAGACCTCAAGTGATCTGCCCGCCTCGGCCTCCCAAAGTGCTGGGATTATGGGTGTGAGCCTCTGCACCCGGCCTGCTTTGTATGTCTTGAAGTTATGCTGTTAAAGTGAATATGAATTAGAATTGTTACGTCTTCTTGGTGAAGTGAATGTTTTGTTATGAAGTGACCCTCTATAGCTGTAGTAATGATTTTTACCTTAAAATATATTTTGTGGGTTCTTAAGCTCTGCTGGCTTGCTTTTGGTAGTGTTTGCATGATAAATGTTTTACCTTCTACATTTCTGCATCTTTTTAGATATCACTTGTAAATAACATATTTATGTAAATATATATGTAAATAACATATTTTAAATAAAACCCATTTTGTCTTAACCCATATAGTCTTTTAACAGAAGCATTTAACCCATTAATATTTATTGTGATTGATAGATGTTTCATTCAGTCTTTTATTTTACTTGAAGTATTTTATTTGGCACATATGTTTTGTCCTTTTTAGTATTTTTAAATTATATTTTCTTTCACTCTACTAGTTTGAAAGTTTTACACGGTTTCCATCCAGTTTTCCTCCAAGTTAAAACATTTATCTTTATAAAAATATGATCTTAATAATTCTGTACTCATTCTGGGCATGGGAGGCACCTTAGAATTCTTGAACTCCAATTATTTCTCTCAGCTTAGGCTACTGTTGTCATACTTTTATATATTTCTTAAACTCACAGATATTGTTTATACAATGTTCATTTAAATTTATCTTCATATTTATTACTTTTTGCTAGTCTGTCTTGTTTGATGTATTTTAGACCTCCCATCTGAGATCATTTTCCTTTTGTCTGAAGTATGTTCTTTTGGAATTATTTTTAATGTAGGTGTACTGGTAAATTCTTTTTCTCTGAAAATGTTTTTATTTTGCCTTTATTCTTGAAGAATATTTTTGTTATGTATAGAATTCCAAGTTGGTATTAGTTTTTCTTAGCATGTTTAAGGTATTGCTCAGTCATCTTCTTCCATTGTTGATAATAAGAAATCAGCTGTTAATCCATTGCTTTTTTTTTTTTTTTTTTTTCAAGACAGGGTCTTGCTCTGTCACCCAGGCTGGAGTGCAGTGGTGTGATCTCGGCTCACTGCATTCTCTGCCTCCCGGGCTCAAGCAGTCCTCCTACCTCAGCCTTCTGAGTAGCTGGGACTACAGGTGTGTGCCACCATGCCCATCTCATTTTTATATGGTTTTTAGAGATGGAGTTTTGCCTGTTGCCCAGGCTGGTCTTGAACTTTTGAGCTCAAGCAATCCACCCACCTTGGCCTTCCAAAGCGCTCTGATTACAGGCAAGAGCCACTGCACCCGGCCATGTTGCTTTTTTTGAAGGCAATTTTGCTTTCTTGTGGCTATTTTTAAGATTTTCTTTGTGTTTTGTTTTTCTCAGTTTCACAATAATATTTCTTGTTGCAAGTTTCTGTTTTATTCTGCTTGGGATTTATTGGACTTTTCAATCTGTGCATTATATCTTGAAGTCAGTGCTAGAAAATTCTCAGCCACAATCTCTTTAAATGTTGTTGTTGTGTATTCTTTCTTTTCTTTTGGGGCTACAGTATACCTATGTTAGACGTTCTCCCCGTATCCATTACATCTCAGTGGGTTTTTTCTGTGTTAGCTCATTTTATCTTTTTGAGCTCCATTCTGGCTGTACTAATGGGTTTACTATTTTTCATTTCATTACCTGTCTCTGTAGCTGTACCAAATCTATTTAATCTTACTTTATTGTATTCTGTAACTATAGAACTTCTATTTTATTCTTTTTTGGACTTGCTAAGTTGTCTTTTATGGTTTTTAGTTCCATGCTGAAGTTTTCAGTATTGACTTATCCCCTTGAACATGAGTTGTTTTATAGACTCTGATGATTCAAAAATCTTACATCTTTTGGTAGTCTCTTTCATTTGTTCACTGTTTCTGTTGATTCTTACTCATGGTATTTTAATTCTTCGTTATTTTTTTTCTGTTTAGATACATTCTTTGAAAAATAATTTGGAGGAATATTTGATTCTTATGAACAAGGCATTACTCACCAGAGAAGATTTTTTTGTTCTACCAGGTGCCTAGGAATGCTAACAGTCTGGGACCACATAGACCACCAGGTGATGAGACAATCCTGGGAGTCCTGTTTTACTTTGGCCCATCTTTTCTCCCAACCCTGTGGGAATAGTCATTCATATCCTAGCTGCAGGCTAGAAGGTGGTTTATCAGAGCCCAACTTCGAGGGCTCTGGGCTTTAGCTACTGTCACCCCATCATAACTGAGCTTCATGGATTGATTCTCTTTTTATCTTTCAGATTTTCTTTTAAAAATCTTTGTTTTTTTTTTTCTTCCGAAAGATTCCCCCAACATTACCATTCCCCACCTTCCGTTGAATTTTTTTGGCTCTCATTTTGAATTTTTCAAGAGCTCATGTTCTTTGTCTTCATTAAAAAAAAAAAGTTCTTATATCGTGTATGAATGTCATTCGGGATATCTATACATACATGCACATACCTCATTTTTATTGCATTTCACTTTATTGCACTTTGCAAAGTGACATTTTTTACAGATTCAAGGTTTGGCAACCCTATGTCCACAAGTCTGTCAGCACCATTTTTCTAACATATGTGCTCATTTTGCCTCTCTGTCACATTTTTTTTTTTTTCCTGAGACAGGGTCTTGCTCTGTCACCCAGGCTGGAATGCAGTGGTGTAATTATGCCTCACTGCGGCCTTGACCTCTTGGGCTCAAGGGATCCTCTTGCCTGCGCTTCTTGAGTAGCTGAGACTACAGAGGTACACCACCACACACCCAGCTAAGTTTTAAATTTTTTTATAGAGATGGGGTTTCCCTATGTTGCCCAAGCTGCTCTCGAACTCCTGGGCTTAAGTGATCCTCCCACCTCAGCCTTTCAAAGTGCTGGGATTACAGGCATGAGCCACAGCACCTGGTCTCTGTGTCACGTTATAATAATTCTGCCAATATTCCAGATTTCGTCATTATTAAATCTGTTATGGTGATCTGTGATCAGCGAACTCTGATGTTACTGTCTAATTGCTTTGGGATGCAGTGAACCCGTCAGAGTCATCCATGAGGGTTGGAATCAACTTCTTCCAAAATCCTGTTAATCAAGAGTGAACTTAATCGATTAATGTTGTGTATGTTCTGACTGCTCCACCAATCTGTGGGTCCCCTATCACTCTCCCTCTCCTCAGGCCTCCCTATTCCCTGAGACACAATAATATTGAAATTAGACCAATTAATAACCCTGCAATGTGAAAGGAAGAAGTTACATGTCTCTCACTTTAAATCAAAAGCTAGAAATTATTAAGCTTAGTGAGGAGGGCATTTCGAAAGCTGAGAGAGGCTGAAAGCTAGGCCGGTTGTGCCAAATAGCTAGCCAAGTTGTGAATGCATAGGAAAAGTTCTTGAAGGAAATTAAAATTGTTACTCCAGTGAACACACAAATGTTAAGTAAGCAAAACAGCCTTATTGCTTATGGAAAGAAAGTCTGAATGGTCTGAATAGAAGATCACGTCAGCCAAAACATGTCCTTAAGCCAAAGCCTAATCTATAATAGATCAAGGCCCTAAGTCTCTTCCATTCCTTGAAGGCACAGAGAGGTGAAGAAGTTGCAGAAGAAAAGTTGGAAGCTAGCCAACCTTGGTTTGTGCAGTTTAAGGAAAAAAGCCATCTCCATAACATGGAAGTGCAAGATGAAGCAGCAGGCACTAGTGGGGAAGCTGCAGCAAGTTATACAGAAAATCTAGCTAATGATGAGGGTGGCTACACTAAAAACAGATTTTCAATGGAGACAAAACACCCTTCTATTGGAAGAAGATGCCCTCTAAAGCTTTCATAGGTAGAGAGAGGTCAGTGCATGGGCTTGAAAGAACAGGCTGATTCTCTTGCTAGAGGCCAATGAAGCCAGTGAGTTTAAGTTGAAGCCAGTGCTAATTTATCATTCTGAAAATTGTAGGGCCCTTAAGCATTATGCTAAATCTACTCTGCCTGTGCTCTAGAAATGGAATAGCAAAGCACGAATGACAGCACATCTGTTTACAACATGATGTGCTGAATATTTTAAGCCTACAATTGAGACCTACTGCTCAGAAAAAAAAGATTCCTTTAAAAATGTTACTGCTCATTGACAACACACCTGGTCACCCAAGAGCTCTGATGGAGATATACAAGAAAATTAATGTTGTTTTCATACCTACTAACACATCCATTCTTCAGTCCTTGTCATTTTGACTTTCAAGTCTTACTATTTAAGAAATACATTCCCCAAGGCTATAGGTGACGTAGATAGTGTGATTCCTCTGATGGATCTGGGCAAAGTAAATTGAAAACCTTCTAGAAAGGATTCACCATTCTAGATGCCATTAAGAATATTGGTGATTCATGGGAGAAAGTCAAAATATCACCATTAACTGGATTTTTGGAAGAAGTTGATTCCAACCCACATGGATGATTTGAGGGGTTCAAGACTAGTGGAGGAAGTCACTGCAGATGTGGTAGAAATAGTAAGATAGCTAGAATTAGAAGTGGAGCCTGAGGATGTGAGTGAATTGCTGCAATCTCTTGATAAAAATTACCTGAGTTGCTTTTTAAAGAGGTTTCTAGAGATGAAATATACTCCTGGTGAAGATGTCGTGAACACTATTAAAATGACAACAGAGGATTTAAAATATAACACAGACTTAGTGGATAAGGCCGCTGCAGGGCTTGAAAGAATTAACTTCAATTTTGAAGGAAGTTCTTCTGTGGGTAAAATGCTATCAAATAGCATTGCATGGTACAGCGAAATCTTTTATGAAAGGCAGAGTCAATTTATGTGGCAAACTTGATTGTTGTCTTATTTTAAGAAATTGCCACAGCCACCCCAGCCTTCAGCAACCACCACACTGATCAGTCAGCAGCTGTCAACATTGAGGTAAGATCCTCTACTAGCAAAAAGATTATGACTCATTAAAGGCTCAGATGATTGTTAGCATGTGGTGTGAGTGTTTGTGTGTGTGTGTGTGTGTGTGTGTGTGTATATATATATATTTAGACAGTGCTACTACCGTACACAAAATGGATTATAGTGTAGACATAACTTTCATATGCACTGGGAAACTGAAAAATTCGTGCAACTCACTTTACTGCAGTATTAGCTTTGTTGCGGTGGTCTGGAACAGAGCCTTCAATGTCTCTGAGGCATGCTTGTATTTATTTATTTATTTAAAAACCTCTATATTGGTTGTGTTTCCTTCAGATTCTATTTTTTGTTTGTTTCGGCCTCTCTTTTGTGATGGAGACTTTATTGAAATGTATGGTGATCCTTGGCTGCTAACTTATATTTGAATGAGGCATGAAAAGTTCATTGGGAGCTCCGTAGGCACTGGGTGCAGGGCCTGAATTCTCAGTATCTTTAAGTCTATTCTGTAGATCCTAGCTCTCCATCTGCTGCTTGGGAAGTATAAATGCCTTCCCACCAGGGTTTTGGGAGCTAAGCTGTGGGAGGAGGCTGGGATCTCAGTGTTCGGTATGTAGACCTTCGCTTGATCCCTATTGCACTCCAGTGCCCCTTGGTTCAGAGAGTAACATGTGGAGTTGGGGTTGGTAACTTTTCCTGCAAAGGGCCAGATAGTAACTATTTCCTGCTTTGTGGGTAATGTGATCTCTGTCACAACCACTCAGCTTTGCTATTGTAGCGTGAAAGCAGCCATAGAAAATATACAGGTGAGTGTGAATGTATTCCAATAAAATTTTACTTATAGACACTGGAAATTGAATTTTTTTTTTTTTTTTTTTGAGAAGGAGTTTCGCTCTGTCACCTAGGCTGGTGTGCAATGGCGCTATCTCGGCTCACTGCAACCCCCGCCTCCCGGGTTCAAGTGATTCTCCTGCTTCAGCCTCCCGAGTAGCTGGGATTACAGCCACCCACCACCATGCCTGGCTAATTTTTTGTATTTTTAGTAGAGACAGGGTTTTACCATGTTGACCAGGCTGGTCTCGAACTCCTGACCTCAGGTGATCCACCTGCCTCGGCCTCCCAAAGTGCTGGGATTACAGGCGTGGGCCACCATGCCTGTTTTTGTTTGTTTGTTTGTTTTTGTTTTTTGTTTGTTTGTTTTTTAGACAGGGTCTCACACTGTCACCCAGGCTGGAATGCAGTGGCGCAGTCTTGGCTCACTGCAACCTCTGCCTCCCAATAACTTTCAATAAGTGATTATTGTGCTTCAGCCTCCTGAGTAGCTGGGATTACAGGCATGCACCACCACGCCGAGCTAATTTTTGTATTTTTAGTAAAGATAGGGTTTTGCCATGTTGGCCAGGCTGGTCTCGAACTCTTGGCCTCAAGTGATCTGCCTGCCTCAGCCTCCCAAAGTGCTGGGATTACAGGTGTGAGCCACCCCGCCCAGCCTGGAAATTGAATTTCATAGCATTTTCATGTGTCTTGAAATACTGGTCATCTGACTTTCTTTCCCCCCAATCATTAAAAAATGTAAAAATCACGCTTAGCCACAGGGAGCCACAGCCCTAGCAGTAAGGTGTTAGGGAACGCTTGGGGCGGGGATCTAACTGCTCTTTATATGGACTTCTGAGTTTCTCTTGTGGGAATTCCTTTCTAAAGGACTTAGGTTTTGGCTCTTCTCACCTTATTACTAATAAGCCTGGTTAAAACTTTGAAATCTGTCTCCTCTACTTATTCTCTTTGTGTTTTTATATCCTTTCATTTCTTTACTGTCATTTTAGGAGAATTTTGGAAAGTAGAATGATGCATATATGCAGTCTTGCATGTTCCTACTTTTATGCTGCATTTTTTAAAAGTCACATCTACCTTCATTTTAATAGCTTTGTTTCTCTAAGAGTAAGAAATATCTTCTGCAGGATTGGAGATCAAGAAATTTTTTTGCTTTCTTCCTTCGCTAGAATAATAAATCATTCTGCTATTCTTTTTGGTCTTTTTATGGGAGGGGGAGAAGGATGAAAACAAATTCTTTGGCTTATATGTTAATTAGAGAGTGGAAGGCAAATCCAAGTTAATTTCTACTTAGATTTATGTCCACTGAACTTAGATCTGTGTGTATTTGTTCTGCCACATTTTTGTATTATTTTATTTTTATTATTTTATTTATTTTGTATTATTATATTTTGTATTATTATATTGTTTCTGGTTTACCATCTGGTAAATTCTTATTTCTGGTTTAAGTCAATTTCTAGAATATTCTGTTAAGTTTACCGTTTTCAGTGTAAAAACCTATAGTGTTGATGTTAACCATTTTTAATATGTAAACGATTTTATGAACTATTTCCCTTTAATGCTAATAAAACTTGTCCATGATGTCTGGCTTTGTGGGCTATGTGATCTCTGTTACAGCTACTCAGCTCTGCTGTTGTAGTGTGAAAGCAGCCACAGAAAATATTTAAATTAGTGAGTATGAATGTGTTCTAATAAAATTTTACTTACAGACACTGGAAATATCATTGCAAATATTACCCATGTTTCAGAGTTAGCAAGTAGGGAGGAAAACCTGGAGAAATCCTTGACACATTTTACACTGTCCTGCCCATCACTTTCTTACTCTAGTAGGCAAAATGAAAACTGTTTTAACTCTAGAAGAGAAGAGGAGTCCAAGAGAGAAAGCCAGGAAATTTGGTAACATTTTTTAACCACAGTAGGAGCCCATATCCTTCAGTTGGCTGAGGCCTTTGAGACCACCTGGTACAGAAATGTTCTAGCCTTGCTGTGCATAGGAGTCACCCAGAGGAGAGCTTTCATCTAGGCTTTTACTGAGCTCTCTCAAGGTGACTTTTGGATGGGCAGTCAGTTTGGGGAACCCTTGATTTTTTTTTTTTTAATAGCTCTTTCCCCTACCAGATGGTTACAGATGGTAAACTGAGTCCAGAGATGCTAATTGTTAGGTCACACTGTTGGGTTGGAACCTAATGCGCTGACCCAAACATAGTCTGAATTTCATAGGCCTACATTCCTGGTTAAATGCAGTCTTGCATGTTCTTCCATGCATACTATACATAGATTTTAATTTGCATGGATTTGCTGCTCTTTTTTTTTTTTTTTTTTTTTTAAAGACAGAGTTTCACTCTTGTTGCCCAGGCTGGAGTGCAATGGCACGATCTTGGCTTGCTGCAGCCTCTGCCTCCTGGCAAGCGATTCTCCTGCCTCAGCCTCCCAAATAGCTGGGATTACAGGCATGCCACCACACCTGGCTAATTTTGTATTTTTAGTAGAGATGGGGCTTCTCCGTGTTGGTCAGGCTGATCTCGAACTCCTGACCTCCGGTGATCTGCCTGCCTTGGCCTCCCAAGGTGCTGGGATTACAGGCATGAGCCACCGTGCAGGTTTGCTGCATTTTAAAAGTGTGATTGTTGTTAGATTTTGCCAGCTAATGATTGCTACAGAAAAGTTTGTTTACCGGTACAAAAATGTTCCTAAAAATTATGACTCACTGTTTTCATGCTTGGCTCATATAGCCACATCTTGTTTGCTCCAAATGCCGTGACTTGAGTGGATAAGCATTTTTTCTTTGGAATAGTATTATCCATCAAGGACTAGGCCAAGGATCAATATGTACATCATAGCTATAACAGCAGAGATTTAAATTTTAAATCTGTAATTAGAGATTTTCTTCAGATTGCAGAGCCAATTGAATGTCAAAACTGGAGAGGACCATAAGTATAGCCTCCAATAATTCATAAAAGATTTGTTTGAAAGTATTTTGGAAGGGATGTTCATGATCCTTTTTATTTTTATCTTTATTTATTTGAAATAGTTTGGATGCTGTTGGAACCGAGTGTTTGAACTCAGGCTTTTTTTTTTCCCCCCTTTTTAAAAATAATAATTTTTTTTTCTTATAAAAGATATGTTCACAGTTAAAAACTTTCTATGGTGCAGAAGGATATAAAGTGAAGCAAGTTCTCTGCCATCTCATTCCCATTCAGTAAGGAAATAGGGGTTCCTTGGGTATTTATTTTAAAATATCCTTCTATTGGCTATGGCTCTGGGACCATGGTGTAAAATCTGAGGAATGATGACAAAAATATTGACAAGTTGCATTCATTGAATGGGCAGGGAGAAAAACAGCAATCCCTGGGAAGGAACTGGCTGGATAAGTATACAATATTTCACGCTGGGCACAATGGCTCATGCATGTAATCCCAGCATTTTGGGAGGCTGAGGCAGGTAGATCGCTTGAGCTCAGGAGTTTTAGACCAGCCAGGACAACATGGTGAAATCCCTTCTCTACAAAAATACAAAAATTAGGCATGGTGGCGTGCATCTGTGCTCCCAGCTACTTGGGAGGGTGAGGTGGGAGGATTGCATTGAGCCCAGGAGGTCAAGGCTGCAGTGAGCCGATACCGTGCCACTGCACTCCAGCCTGGGCAACAAAGCAAGGCTCTGTCTCAAAAAAAAAAAAATTCTGTTTCTCTACTAGTTGCACATAACAGCAAATTTTACTCTTCAGAGAATAGTCTAAAATGCAGAACAAGCAATCAAAGCTCCTGAGATTTCAGAAGAGTTTGAGGCCTCCCACATCCTTCTCCACCTCTTTATAATCTCTTTTCATGTAATTCTGAGTATGGTGATCTTTTTTCAAATGTGCAGAGCTTAGAAGTAGCAAAGGAGGAGATAGCGCTGAGTAGAGCTGATGCTGATAACTGCGGACTAATAGCTTAAAAACATGCAAGAAAAAAACACAAACAGATGAGAAGATCAGCATACTGAAAGGCAGATACAGACTTCAAAGCCATAGTCTGTACTTCACTTTGTTTTGAGGGCGGGTTAAAGAAGAATATAAAAATCAGTAGTTTGCTATAGGGGACCCTAAACCATCGATAGGTGTTCATTATAAAATTTCTATTTGTGAAAACAGCAGTTTGTGGTAAGGCTGAATGACATATTATTGTATTCATAATGCATATTAGTACTCTTCAGAATCCCAGTTAAAATTATTTTATGTTTGATTTTCAGTTCCACTTACTTACATGATCATTTCGAGAGATGTAATGTTGATTGCTGCTGTTTTTTATGTCAGATACCGAACTCTTCCAACACCAGTGAGTTTGTTTCCAAAAAGTATTCTTTTAGCATTATATATGATTTAAGGAAAAAGCAAAAAGACATATTTTTGCGTCAACATCTTTTCAATTGATGGCACGTGAAACCCAGACTAGCCAGCCCCTATCCCTAGAAGCAAATTCTTTAAAGGTGTTTCATATAGGTCCAGGCCATATTGTCTAATTTAACCTCTACCATGGATAGTCTAGAATTGGTTTTAAAAATCACAGTTGTATGAACATGGGATGGTTTGTTTGCATATTTATTCACAGGCTCTATAAATACTTGAACACATACGCATAGCATATTAACCTCTTTTGGCTCCCAATGTACTGAAAATAGAGCAGTAGAGCAGTATTTTGTTCATTTTATTTTTTAATTCAAAAAAGAAAATAGTGAATAAGGGAATTTTGAGTTTAGTAAAATTTTATAAAGCAAACTATATGATAGGTATTGTGTTCGAATTTTACAGCAATTGAAAAATCTATACATTTTTTAAAATCAATATTCAGTATATATTGAATGTATGATTTATAAAGTTATGTTGTTACCTAAGTATAATAACAAAATGTCTATTTTAAATAAAAATGTTATTTTAAACAATAAGTTAATTACTTTATCTTTTTTGGTCCTCTGCCAGCGAACACTTGCCAAGTATTTCAATCCTTGCTATGCCACTGCTAGGTTAAAACCAACATTCATCAGCAAGGTAAGAGAATGCAATGTTCTTTGAAGTTATTCCTTTGTAAATTTTTATTATACAGGATATAAACCTTAGTCAAGAACAGCTGAAAATGAGACAAATTTAAATGCATTGAGTATAGAGGCTAGAGAGTAGCGTTGGGCAGGCAGTTTTAACCTAGTTTGTCCTCCGTGTTTTTTGGATCATCCTTATACATGTTGTGCCTTGAGTTGGTGGTCTGAGAGTTTAAGCTCTGAATGAGGTAATCGGGCCACTGTTTAGGGAAAGGGAATTGAAATGTAATTGTTCCTTTTTTTTTTTTTTTTTTTGAGACAAGGTCTTACTTTGTTGCCCAGGCTGGTATGGAACTCCTGGCTTCAAGCAATTCTCCTGCCTTGGGTTCCCAAATTATTGGGATTACAGGAGTGAGCCACCAAGCTTGGCTGTAACTGCTTCTTAATTCAGTTTCACAGATTATGAAGAGTCCCTGGTGGTTTCACTCCCTCCTTCCCTGTGGTGAAAATACCAAATGGCTGTTCATTTTCAGGATTGATAGTTAAGTGGAAAGGGATAGGAAAATAGGAAAAAGTTTTGTTCACTAATAAACAACTGCTACTCTTAGTTGTCCATTCTGTTTTCCCGAGCATTCAGGGCAATAAGTATATGCCAGTCTACCTCTCAAGCCATATTTGTTTTTCTAGTAGCTTTGATAAGTTTTCTCAGTTCATTCTTTTGTCCCATCTTTAATGTCAAGGATTTAACAGGTTAAGAATGCCCATCATTTTTGGGAGAGAAGGGTAGTTGCTTCTATACAGAACTCCCTGGGGTGGACTTTCATCTACATGCATAGGGTTTGGGGTTTTTTTGTTGTTTTTTGTTTGTTTGTTTGTTTGGCTTCAAGTGACTTGTGTTTATATTGTATGGCAATTTGAGTGTAGCGTTACATGGAAAGTGCTTAAAGAGGTACGGGGACAAGTGCCTTAAACCCTTATAGGAAGCCCTTAGGATAAAATTTACATTTTATTTTATTTTATATTTTATATTTTATTTTATTTTAATTTAATTTAATTTTATTTTATTTTATTATTTTTTATAGATGAATTTTTGCTCTTGTTGCCCAGGCTGGAGTGCAATGACGCGATCTTGGCTCACTGCAACCTCCTCCTCCCGGGTTCAAGCGATTCTCCTGCCTCAGTCTCCCAAGTAGCTGAGATTACAGGCATGCGCCACCACGCCCAGCTAATTTTTTTTTTGTATTTTTTAGTAGAGACGGGGTTTCACCATGTTGGTCAGACTGGTCTCAAACTCCTGACCTCAGGTGATCCACCCATCTCGGCCTCCCAAAGTGCTGGGCTTACAGGCGTGAGCCACTGCGCCTGGCTATTATTTATTTTTTAAATGAAGTAGAATCCTTCTCATTTGGCTGCAGAACGGGTGATAGAACAGAGGTGCTCGTCTGCTTCACTCGCTTTTTCATACTTTGCAGACTCTTCCATGGAGTGCTTCTCATGATGATAGAGGGAGTCTCCAGTGTATTTCTTGTTCTATTTTCTTTTCTCCCCAGTGCTGTCTTTTAGTGTAGGGAAGCCTACTCATTTCCTCCTTGAGAGAGGTTCTTTTATGGAGATGAGTGCTTTTTCTTTGAAACGGGGTCTTGCGCTGTCTGCCCAGCCTTGAGTGCAGTGGCGCAATCATAGCTCACTGCAGCCTTGACTTCCCAGGCTCAAAATATCCTACCACCTCAGCCCCCCAAGTAGCTGAGAGTACAGGTGCACACCACCATGCTTGGCTGGTTTTTAACTAGCTGGTTTCAAACTCCTGGGCTCAAGTAGTCCTTCTGCCTCAGCCTCCCAAAGTGTTGGGATTGCAGGCATGAACCACTGCATCTGTCCTGAGATGAGTGCCTTTTAATTTTCTAACCTCACAAGGTTTGACAGGTAGGCAAGAAAGGAGCATCGGATAAGGCCCCAGGAAATCTAGGTTCCAGCTTTGGTTCTGTTGTCTGCTGTGACTGCAGGCAAGTCACCTAACTCATTACCCTTTTACCCATGAAGAGGTAGCTTAGTTATTTTCGTATTCCATTTTAATGGGCAGTTGGAAAAAAGGCAAATAATTTTGTAACATTTTTGAGTTGCTGTGAGAATTCAAGGTAGTGGTATTTTCTGACAGTTGTCATTACTCTTGCTCTTAAGGGCAGCTGTGCAGACAGATGGGTCAGTTAGTGAAGCTGACCCTTTTGTGTGTGCTCACCTGTGAATGCAAGCTTATTGGGCAGGGATAGTGTAGATGAACAGCAAGCATGCTGAGGGTATGTCATGTTATAGTGTGATGGGCTGTGCTTTTGTCTTGAAAGCTTGAAATAGGATCCAGTTGGCACTATTCACTTAGAACTTTTTCTTTTTTTATTTAGGTGAATACAGCAGTCCAGTTAATCTTGGTGGCAGCTTCTTTGGCAGCTCCAGTTTTCAACTATGCTGACAGCATTTATCTTCAGATACTATGGTAAGCTAAATTTAGAATCACTCTCTTAGAATGTCAACAGAATGACTTATGGTGATAGCCCTAGAATGACCTTGTTCTTACAGCATTTGTTGAGCACTGACTGGGTAAAGCTGTGGCTATATTTGGTGATTGATACCATTGTTAAGACGCTTCCTGCCAAGTATGAGATGGAGAAGTTAGCTTTCATACAAATTAAAAGGGATAAAAGGTACTGATAATGTGTTAAGGGTTTTGGAGGAAGAGATAACTTCGTAGGAAGAAGAGGGACAGTTTCAGGAAGGAAGTGGCATTTGTTGCATGAAGTGGATTGTGTGTAGGAAGAGACTGAGAGGAGACCACTAGGTGAAAGACAGGGCCTAAGCCAAGAGATAGAGTGTAGGAGAGAGGGTAGGGAAGCTGAGTCCAGCCTGTTGAAAAGGGTGTTGTAGGAGGGAAAACTGGAGAGAGGAGTTTGAATTTTATTATACTAATTGCTTATTTATCATCTTAAAAGTGTGTCAAATTCACGCTTTCAGAGTTCAAAATAGTCACATTGACATTGGAGTATTATATTTTGGCACAATTTTAACTAGAATTAAAATTATCTTGCTTGGTACAGTCTGGACCAGAAAGTGGTGGCTAATCACAGTCAGTTAAGCCAGGCAGTCTTTTAAAAAATGACAACTACTCTAAACTTTTTATTTTAATTAAAAATATTTAAGTGTACATTTATCCCAGTTCATCTTATACCTTCTGATATAGGATGAAGGCTTTTTGAGTGTAGGTCCATCAGTGGGAGTTTTTTCTTTCTCGGATAAACTACATCCATAATACAAACCTCTCTGATTTTCATTTTTTACTTCTTTAAGGTGATGCAAGAACTTAAAACATTTGCAAAGCAGTCTAAGAACTGTTTAGATATTTTCCCTAGTCTTTTCACAATCATCTTGTCTATTTATTTTGACAGTATTTTTTTCCCCTAGGAACCCATGAAGAGAGAGACAGTATTTTTTTTTTAATCAAGTCACCTTTATTGAGTCTTTCTAAAGCATCCAATGTAGTTTTCAGAAATAGCAATTAAAAAAATTTTTATTTTATTTTTTTGGAGACAGGGTCTTGCTCTGTCACCCAGCCTGTAGTACAGTGGCATGATCATAGCTCACTGTAACCTTGAATTCCTGGCCTCAAGCGATCCTTCAGCTTCAGCCTCCTGAGTAGCTGGGATTACAGGCATGTGCCACCACCACACCTGGCTATTTTTTTTTAATTAATTAATTTATTTATTTTTGAGACAGAGTCTCGCTCTGTTGCCCAGGCTGGAGTGCAATGGCCTGATCTCAGCTCACTGCAACCTCTACCACCCGGGTTCAAGCGATTCTCCTGCCTCAGCCTCCTGAGTAGCTGGGATTACAGGCGCCCACCACCATACCTGGCCAATTTTTGTATTTTTAGTAAAGGCGGGATTTCACCTTGTTGGTCAGGCTGGTCTCGAACTCCTGGCCTCAGTTGATCCACCCGCCTCAGCCTCTCAAAGTGCTGGGATTACAGGTGTGAGCCACTGTGCCCAGCCACTAATTTTTTGTATTATTATTTTTTGTAGAAACAGGGTCTCACTATGTTGCCCAGGCTGGTCTCAAACTCTTGGCCTCAAACAATCCTCCTGCCTCGGCCTGCCAAAGTGGTAGGATTATAGTCATGAGCCACTGCGTCCAGCTAGAAATAGCAATTTTTCTAACACATATATTTCATTGGTTTATGTATGAATTTAGAATATCAAAGTGGCATGAACAGGTTCAAGATCCAACAAAAGGGAATCTTGATTCTGCCTCACCTAATAAAAGCAGAAGTGCGTGGGCGCACTAAAAAGTAATCTAGCTGTGGGCATGCAGCATGCCATGGGTGTCAGGTGATGTCATTTCAAGGAGAATCCGGTTAAGGGTAGTTTGGTAAAGAAAGCTGAAATTTATTTAAAATGACTCAGGTATCTTTAGAATTCTCAAAAGCTGCAGGAAATAAGAGTCTGGTACCCTGAGAAGCATGGGGCAGTAGAAAGAGCATGTGGGCTTTAGAGTTCAAACGAAGTCAGGCTCAAACATAGTTCTGTGATAAGCCCTGAGCAAGTTACCCGGGTCTTCCATTTCCCCCTTCTGGAGAAGTCCTTTGGAGGATGAGTCCTTCTGGAGGATGAGTCCTTCTGGAGGATGAAGTCCTTCTGGAGGATGAGTTCGTTGTAAGAATAAAATGAGAATGTAAGACACCTAGAGGATGCCCGAGTAAAAAATGACAGTTGCTAGTAGTAGTAATTTGTAGGGCTCATTATCTAGAATAATTTTGTTTGACGTTACTAATTAAAATGAACTCTTAAAGAAAAGCAGTGTATTTAGACTCTTGTAGTTAAGAAAAATTACACCACAGAGCCCTTTTTACTTTTTAAATTCATTTTTACATTTTAAATTCATTGCATGTATTCATTATGATTCCCGTTGCTACTATTTTTTAGACTTGACAACTACATTTTATTTCTTTTCTTCCATAAAAGGTGTTTTACAGCTTTCACCACAGCTGCATCAGCTTATAGTTACTATCATTATGGCCGGAAGACTGTTCAGGTGATAAAAGACTGATGAAAGTCATCCCTCACTGTTAGTAAGGAAGCAGTATACATCAATGGGAACAGGGCCCATGGAAATGTACAGGAGTTTCCCTATTTTGGTGTTCAGCTTGAAAAAGGACTTGTCAGAATCAACTGTGTCATCAAAATTTAAGTAATGTGCATTGAAAATAAGGTTGATCATGGGAATATGCAGAATTTCCAATGTATTTTTAAATACAAATAAAATTGTAATTTAGAATTTTTAATCTTAGGTTTCTTGATTAATTTATAAGAGATCAATTATTGTCAGTCTTTTTTGTATGTTTTTTAAAAACATAGTCCAGAGCATGGGCAGAATTGACACCTCTCTTTTAAGTGAAATTTGGATTGCTCACAAAGCACTAGGAAATGTCATGGGGTTCAAATATATATCCTACACAACTGGGCAATACATTTTTGTTTGATTTTTAGGTCTGTGTATACATTAACAGTTCATGTAATTAATACCTGATCATTTGGGATAATGAAAGTGAAGTTAGTTGTAGATGAAGTAAAGTTATAAAAGAGATTAAAAATGCGGTAACTTTTTAAGATAATAATCATACAGAAGGTATGAAGTTCATTTTCGGTAGTCTTCCAACCTCTCAGGTGCCTAATAATTTATGTTTGAGGATAACAGGTAACAAAGATAGTCGAGATAGGAGAACGTGTCTATTAGTCTTTGCATCTAAAAGGCAGTGAGTTACGTTCCTGCCTTCCACTGTGTTTCTGACATAGCAATGTTTGTTTGATATTGGAACCTGGATTCATATTTTATGTAAATAATATCAAGCTGTATATTTTTCAAAGGTTTTTTAAACTTTGGAGACTCTTTCTTTTGTTAAGCAGTTAAAGGAATAAAAGAGCTGGAAAAAAAATTGTACCTTCAACTCAGGTTGTTCCATATAACATACGTATTCTCTGCTGTTACGTAAGTTTTCCGATTCACAGAGTCCATTCATGTACATCACTTACACTTAAATTGTAAAAATAATTAGTCTGACCATCTGACTTTAAAAGACTGTTGCTACACGTACATCATGTTTAGGAGAATGTGGGATATGGGGAAGGGGAGAAGAAGACAGTCCAGTGGTGACTAGTTGCTGCTGCTTAACCTATGGCCTATTGCTGCCCATTGTCCCTGGTTTTAATCCAAGCCTATTATGGAATACTGCAGTGAGATTATCCATTCTCAGCCTGTTGAGCTGCATTAAATTAGAATGGGAGGCTGTAAGTAAAACTCATGCCTCTTGGCCAGGCATTCTGCACCAGCGTGTCCCTCTGTGGCTTGCTGGTCCTGGTTGTTCTCAGACTGGCAGCTGAGCTGCGCTTGGCTTGAAGCATACTGAAGCCTGCAGCCAGGGACACCGCCATTGAATCAGATGGAGGGGGATGAAAAAGCAGAGAAGGGGGCATGTGGCTGGCTATTCTTGCTCTCTGGAGAACAGCTTCATTGTTAGGAGTAGTTAGGCTGAAAGTGGACTTCCCACTGCTGAGCCACCCAAGAGGCACACTGAGCATTAGTGACGGGTGAGCCACATAAGAATAATGTTTAAAAAAGAGAGGACTTGAAGTAGCTATGCGAAAATTTAGAACTTTGCACTTTGTTAACGCTTATTTATGGTTTAGTGTTGATGCCATTTGGAGTGACCTATGGGTTGGACCCATATCTTTTTATTATTAAGGTCTCAATCTGGCTCTGGTTAATAAACGTTTCCCGCTTCATCCCTTAGGAAAATGGTCCAAGTCTCCTCAGGCTTTTGGATACTGAATTGTTATAAAACACATCAATTCTGCCAGTTTATAAAACACTGGAATTGTATTAGACATGTCTGAGTATGTACTTGTTTATAGACTCAAAACATGATGAAAATTCATTTCATTGTCTTCACTGAATAGACTTAACCTTGACAGTAAGCTTAAAGCATTAGTGTCATTTAATTACATGTCTGAGGAATTTATGCTAACTAGATTTTGGGCTTTTGCAGCGAATTTTAGTCGGGGCCTCATTCCTGAGCCCAAGTGACCCTTTCACCTCAGCTTCCCAAGTAGCTGGGATTACAGGTGCACACCAACTGTGCTTTGCAGTTTTGTTTGTGTGTGTGTGTGTGTGTGTGTGTGTGTGTGTGTGTGTGTGTATTTTGTTTTTTTTACAAGCCCACAACATCATAGCTTTGCAGTTTTTAACCAGGAGCTGGTGGAGATCTTTGAAATCATTTAGGCCAATTCTTTTAGTTACATTTATGATGAAACTAGGGATCTACCTTAAAGTTTTGGGAAGCTCTTTCAAAACTTCAGACACCTAGAAATATATATAGTGCAGTTCAGTTTTAGTTTCTGCAGCATGGTTTGGAAACAAAAGATACATAGGATTTAAACTCGATTTGTTTTCTTCTTACAGTAGAAGTAAATGCTCTTGTGGCTTGAATCGCATCTCCCAAGAAAGATACGTTCACGTTCAAACCCCCAGTACTGTACATGTGACCTTATTTGGAAATAGGGTCTTTTTAGATGCAGTCAAGATAGAATTAGATCATACTGGATTACAGTGGGCCCCAATAACTAGGTTTTTTTGTTAAAAAAAAAAAAAAAGGAAATGTGAACAGAGAGAGAATGCCGTGAGATGATGGAGGGATAGATTGGAATGATGTCTGCGAGCTAAGGAATACTGAGGATTGCTGCCAACCATCCGAAGCTGGGAGAGGAGATGGAACAACTCCCTCGGAGCCTCCAAGAGGAACCAACCCCACTGATGCTTTGATTTGGGATTTCCGGCCTGAACTGTAGGAAAATAAATTTCTGTTCTTTTAAGCCATTTTTACCAGTTTGTGGTAACTTGTTACAGCAGCTGCAGGAAATTAATAAATGCCAATGTTGAAAATTAAAATCTAGAAATATGGCTCTAATTATAATTTCATAGAATCATTTTTTCCCCTGAGTTTCCCCTGAGTTTGCATAAAAGTGAAAAAGTAGAGGACAGAGTAGATGCCTCCCACATGAAGACACAGATTATTAAGGCATTGTTTGATGCAATTAGGGCAGAGAAACACGGGCTTCTAGCTAGAGCCTCGGGTTCTCTTTTGCTCATTTCTTCCCTCTAATTAAGAAAAAATATTTCCAAAGTTTATTATGCCTCCTAAAAAATGAATTTATAATTCATTTGTCCATTTAGTCTTAGGTGAAATGCAGTAAACACTAACTTAAAAGGACAGCCTTTCCCTGTGTTTGACAAATGTTCCCAGAAAACTGGTTTTAACTGTAAAGCCGGGAGTACATTTTCTTGTCATGTCCTGAAATGGAACTAATAAACCCAGAAGGCCTTAGGAAGCAACCATTAGCTCTCCCCCTTACCCTAGTTCTCAGGAATTGGAACTGGAAATCCACTGGAATTGATTTCTTGAATAACAGAGCTCGTTGTGTCTTAGAGCTTGACCATGAAGGAGCTTCCGCTGGAAAGACCTGAGGATGTGATTTCTAACATGATCAAAGAGGCTGGGTTATGCAACTTCTCTGTTTCATCCCTTCCTACGTCCATACACTATTCTACTGGATAGAGAGGCACTGACTGCTGAAAACCGCAAATGAACCAACAACACACAAGAAGGCCTGGCGGCAGTGGGGAGCGATCTGGCATTGACCATCAGGTTTCTGGGAACAGAGTTAAGTAGAAGGAAGGGAGGGCAGCAGTTCCTTGGACCCAGACACTCAGTGTGGCAAGTTCCATGTGTGCTCAAGGCATTCTGGCTTCACGGGAATTAGAAACCCTAGGAGCGGATGGGGTCGTTTTTGACCGTCTGTGTCTTCCTTTTTGCGCTCAGATCCAGTTCGATGAGACGCGTTATCCCAGAAGCTGGGCTAACTGACGGTCTGGAGCCCCAGCGGGTAATCATCAAAGGCCGGGTTTTTGTAGGCCACCAGGTGCGTGTCGCAGCGCTGCAGGCCCAGCGTCTGGCCCCGCCTGCAGAGACATGCGGACAGCACCACGGTGCTGGCGAGCAACAGGCCGCTGGCGGCGCACAGCCCAGAGAGCAGGAGCGCGAAGCTGGGCTTGGTGGTGAAGGCGGCGCACGGGCTCCTCCAGCCCGAAGACCGTGGCTGGCTCAAGCCCGCCCTGTTGGCCGCCAGCACGCACACGCGGTAGGTGGTGCCCGGCGACAGCCCGTACAGAGGGTGCTGCCGGGCCGTGGCGTAGATGACCCCCACCACCGACTGGTTCCCCGCCCAGCCCTCCGCAGAGTAGCGGATCTGGTACCCATGCACTACCGAGTTGGGGGCACACCAGTGGACCAGCGCCGACGTGTCCGTGGTCTCCGTCACCCCCTGCAGCCTGGGCGGGTCTGGGATGGTGTCTTCCCCGCTGAGGCCGGGGCACCGGCACCGCCACCGCCTCTGCAGCTCCGCGCACGGGGTCTGCAGGTGCTTGCAGGGATGGTAATCACAGGGGACGTCCTGGTGAGGCGTTCCCACCTCCTCCTTCCTCCCTTCCTCCTCCTCACTGTAGTCGTCCAGCAGCAAGACTGGAATCTCGCCCTCGGAAAGACTCGGGTTGGGGGCTTGGGGTGTGGCGTGTGTCCTCTGGCCGGGCTGAGGCGAGCTTATGCTGCGGTCCCACGAGGTAGGGAAGGGGCCCAGGAGCTTGCTGGCCAGTGGGGTGGAGGCAGCTGAGATATCAGGCTCAAGGACAAGCTCGGGGGCATGTTCTCCTCGGTGCTGGGTCCTGGTGGTGCTGGCAGCCCTGGGGAAAACGCTGGAGTTGCTGTGACCTGCTACAGAGTTGGTCGTGGAGGGGGCAGTCCCCTCCCGTGCATCGCTGTGCGGCCATGCAGCTATCGTGCGAGAGCCCACGTTAGGGGCCTTGGAGACACTCTGCTGGTCTCCCGCAGGCCGGGTGGCGGGGGCTGCGCTGGGCGCGACGGTGGTACCCTGTGCGTAGGTGGAGCGGTTGAAGCAAGGTGGGTGTGAAGCCCCGAGAGTGGTGCTTTGGTCGGACTGGCACACTCCGGGCAGCTGGGAGAGTGACAGGGAGGCTGAGAAGGGGCCGCTGGATCCCGCAGCTGGCGCGCACATAGTGTCTGCTGCCCTGGAGGGGAGGCCAACCAGTTAGAAGACGTCTGGCTTCAGGGACACTTCTGCGCAGAGCTTTGAATCCTCATTGCCGACGTCACCCCCTGCCAAGCCCATCAACGCGTCTCTGCCAGGCACCCCAGGGCACACACGCCGCACACACACATCACCTCATTGATTCTGGGGAAACCTTTGGAGGAAGCTCCTGTCCTCACTCCCACTGGGCAAAGAAGCAAACAGAAGTTTAGAAGGAGGAACTAATTGCCCAAGACACCATAGCTAGCAATGGCAGAGCCTACCCCGGGGCAAGCACTGAGAAGGAGTCCAGATTCTCTGAGTGTCATTTGCCATTTTGTTCTCACCTGTCTGCTTCCTGGCAAGAAAGCACTAGTAATAAAAATCATACTCGGGCCGGTGCGATGGCTCAAGCCTGTAATCTCAGCACTTTGGGAAGCTGAGGCGGGCAGATCACAAGGTCAGGAGGTCAAGACCATCCTGGCTAAGACGGTGAAACCCCCTCCCTACTAAAAATACAAAAATTAGCCGGGCATGGTGGCGGGTGCCTGTAATCCCAGCTACTCAGGAGGCAGAGGCAGGAGAATCACTTGAACCTGGGAGGCAGAGGTTGCAGTGAGCTGAGATTGCACCACTGCACTCCAGCCTGGGCAACAGAGGGAGACTCTGTCTCAAAAAAAAAAAAAAAAAAATACTCATACTAGCTACCATTTCTGAGTGCTTCCCACGTGCTAGGCGCTATTCTTCACACTCCAATGTGTCAACTAATTTAGTCTGCACTACTTTTGCAGTAGACTCTATTACCCCATTTTACAGATGAGAAGGTAGAGGCCAAAGTAACTCAGGTGAAATAGCTCAGCTCAAATCAACAGTAGTAAGTAGACCAGGTACAGTGGCTCATGCCTGGAGTCCCAGCACTTTGGGAGGCCCATGTAGGAGGATCACTTGAGGCCAGGAGTTGGAGACCATCCTGGTCAACATAGTGAGACCTCGTCTCTACCAAAACAAACAAACAAAAACTTAGCCAGGTATGGTGGCACATGGCTGTGGTCCCAGCTACTTGGGAGGATGAGGCAGGAGGATTGCTTGAGCCCAGTAGTCTGAGGCTGCAGTGAGCCATGATCATGCCACTGCACTCCAGCCTGGATGACAGAGCAAGACCCTGTCTCTAAAATAAATTAATAAAATAGTAGTAAGTAGGATGAAGCTGGACTCTCTGGCTCCAGAGCCTGTAGTCTCAGCTTCATCATTAATACTGTGATGAGACCCTTGACTGCAAAGGGCCCAGGTGCTTCTCTTTGGAGGGAATGTGGGGTTGGGGGGCAGACTGAGCCCCACCTCACAGCTGGGCTTGGGTGGGAGATGAGAAAAGAATCTTGGCCGGGCATGGTGGTTCATGCCTGTAATCCCAACTCTTTGGGAGGCCCAGATGGGAGGATCACTTGAGTCCAGGAGTTTGAGAACAGCCTGGGTAACATGATGAGACTCCATCTCTACAAAAAGATTAAAAAAAAATTAGCCGGGTGTGGTGGCTTGCACCTCTGGTCCCAGCTCCTCTAGAAGCTGAGTAGGATGATCGCTGAGCCCAGGAGGTTGAGGCTGTAATGAGATATGATTGTACCACTGCACTCCAGCCTGCGCAACAGAGCAAGACCCTGTCTCCAAACAAATAAACAAAAAGAATCCTGCAGAATGGTGGTGAGGGGGGTTGCCTCCCAAGGTATAGTGTTTACTTGGTGGAAATGGTTTGAAAGTGCTCAGGACTGGGGGTGTTCCCAGCCCCCCAGCTCCCACTGTCTCCTGGTGGCCAGCCTAAATGTGGCTCCTCACTGCAAAAACAGCTCTTTCTAGCCAATAGTCTTCATAGGAATTTCCCAAGAGAGCTCTGTAAGCCCACGGGCCTAGGACTGGATAACCCGGGAGCAGGAGGCCAGGCTCCATCTTGAAGATTCAGTAGAACCCAGTGGTTAAGCCAGACTACACTTCCCAGCCTCCCTTGCAGGTAGGTGTGGCTCCTGGCTAATGAATGTGAGTGGAAGTGAGGAGTAACACCTCCCAGCCTGGCTCACCAAAAGCCTCCAGGTCTGCTCCTCCATGCTCTTTGCCCCTTCTGGCTGGCTGGAATGGAGGCAGCTTCCATCACCTGGATCCCTGAGTATGACTACATGGGAAAGGCTGCCCAGCCCAACATGGCCAAAGTGCCAAGCATGGTCACATGAGCAAGATGTAAGCTGGAGAACTTCAGCTCCTGAAGGCTGACCCTCTGCCCTCAGCCATCTGCTTTGTAAATGTGTTACCTGCTTAGGACAGTTCTCTTTGCATCCGTGAGGAGCCAAGACAAGTCACAACTGCAAGTGAGGGGGTTGCCAAAGAGGTTGATCGATAGGACCTGGGAGGAATCCAGGGTCCAAGGAGGGAAGGAACTCAAGTTGCAGCTGAAATACAAACAAAAAAATTAATTAAGTCAGGTTTTTACAATTGTATCAAAGATATTCCCAGAGAGGCATGGTGTCAGAACCATGCCCATGGTATCAGAAGCATTCTGATAGGGGTTGGAGAATACCGCTTTGGGCAAAACTCTTAATGACCTCGAACTTCATTTTTTGTCCTCTGTTGTAAAATGGAGATACCAACCTAACAGGAAATATTATGCTTCATATCAACTGGGGACAATATTCCTTCATATCAACTGGAGACATAGCTAGAATGGAAATGTTAGAATGAGAGTTCAATCAGTATTTTTGTGTGTGTGTGGAAAGGAAATGCTTTTCTTTTTCCCTGAAGTGGGAAAGGAAGAGGATTACATTTTTTTTCTTTGAGTAACACCGTTGAGTCCTTTACTTACATTGTCTCATATCAACTGGGGACAATATTCCCATGACTGATCGTTGTATCAAAAAGAATGTGTGTTGGCTGGGCACGGTGGCTCATACCTGTAATCCCAGCACTTTGGGAGGCCAAGGCAGGTGGATTATTTGAGGTTAGGAGTTCGAGACCAGCCTGGCCAACATGGTGAAACTCTGTCTGTACTAAAAATACAAAAATTAGCCGGGCGGTAGTGGTGCACCTGTAATCCCAGTTACTCGGGAGGCTGAGGCAGGAGAATCACTTGAGCCTGGGAGGCAGAGGTTGCGGTGAGCCAAGAGCACACCACTACCCTCCAGGATAGGCAGGAGAGTGAGACCCTGTCTCAAAAAATAAAACAAAACAAAACAAACAACAACAACAAAAACACACACACAAAAAAGAATGCATGATGATAAAAGTGTTTGTAAATGCAAATCTCCACATACAAATAGATATTGTTATTATGGACCAGTGTTATTGCACTGTGGCTGGTGACACTCAACACCAGTCCTTTGGAAGATGCCTCATTTAAGTGCATCAGTGAACTCTTGCTAAGTAGAGAGTATCCTCCAAACTTAGTAACTTAAAACAATAAATATTTATTCCTTTGCATGATTCTGTGGGTTGGCTCAGTGGTTCTTGTGGTCTGGATTAGCTCAGCTGGGGCCAGATGATCTGGGATGGCCTCATGTGTAAGCCTCAACTGGCTGTGCTGGGACTTCTCTCCATGTGTCTGTCATCACCCAGGAGGCTAGCCTGGGCTTATTCACATGGTAGTGGAGGGATCCCCAATAGCAGGAGAGGGCAGGCCCCAGTGCTCAATTGCTTTCTAGTTTCTGCTTACATCACATTTGCTAATATCCCACTGGCCCCAAGCAAATCACAAGGCCAAGCCCAGCTTCAAGAGGTAGAGCAATAGACTCCTTGAAATATGGGGCCTGGTGCAATGGCTCATGCCTGTAATCCTAGCCCTTTGGGAGGCCAAGGTGGGAGGATCATTTGAGGCCAGGAGTTTCAGACTAGCCTGGGAAACATAGCAAGACCCTGTCTCTACAAAAAAAATTTAACAATTGGCCAGGCATGGTGGAGTACACCTGTGGTCCCAGCTACTTGGGAGGCTGAGATGGGAGGATTGCTTGAGTTAGAGGTTACAGTGAGCCATGATTGTGCCACTGCACTCCAGCCTGGGGAGCAGAACTAGGCCTTGACTCTAAAGAATTGAAATTTAAAAATATATATATAGGAGGAGCTGCAGTCATGTTGCAAAGAGTTGTGCCTACAGGGATGGGGGGAATTACTGAGGCCATTTTTGCATAGAGTCTACCATACCTAGCAATGGCAGATCTGCTCCTGGCTCCCTTCTCTTTCTCACCCAGAGTCTCACAGAGTGTTTGGCCTTGACTTTCTCGACTCCCTGAGTCTCCTGGACCTCCCAGATTTTACCTCATTTACATGTACTCAGTGATAATTCATCATGGGCAATGGGAGCTGCATTTTACATTCAAGTCTCTTCTGACCAAAGGCTGGCTTTCCTCAGTCTGCCTGGGAACCTGCCCTTTACTACTCTGGAGAAGATGCTGTTGTTCTGGGAAAGGAAGGACATGTCACCCACATCTGCTCTATCACTTCTGGCCAGTAGGAAAGTGACAGTCACCCCTGGGACACCAGATTTATGTATGTGCCATTTATATTAAAACTTAAGCCATATGTGCATATACAAGTGTATATATGTATATATGCGTGTATGCTTGTTTTTGCAGATTTTACATAGCTAGAATGGAAATGTTAGAATGAGAGTTCAATCAGTATTTTTGTGTGTGTGTGGAAAGGAAATGCTTTTCTTTTTCCCTGAAGTGGGAAAGGAAGAGGATTATATTTTTTTTTCTTTGAGTAACACCGCTGAGTCCTTTCCTTACATTGTCTCATTAACATCACTATGACGACTTAGTGAGGTAGACAGCATGTTACATGTTCTACATGTAAAGAAAATTATTCTTAGGGGAAAAGGTACAATTCGCTTTGGTGGTTCTTTCTGCCACCCAGTGCCACCTACACGTGATGAAGTCCCACATGCTGAGGAAGGAGAGAGCCTGGCTGGTTCCTGATGCATGTCACATTTGGGTATTCTCTACTTCTGATAGGGCCCTAGTGTGGAAGAAGTCTCCATTTGCTCTCCTGAATAATTTCTATTGGAGAATTGTTAATAGAAATTGCAGATACTTCCATGTCACTTTCCAGTAGTTCCATGTCATTTACAATCATTAAAATGATGAAAGTTATTAGACTTACTGGTAGATTTTGTCACTTAAGGTGTTAAAGAAGCAGACACACATACACACACACACACACACACACACACACACACACACACACACAGAGACACACACCACTCTTCTGGTAAGAGTGGACCATGGCTGGGAGCGGTGGCTCACACCCATAATCCCAGCACTTTGGGAAGCCGAGGCAGGCAGATCACGAGGTTAGGAGATAGAGACCATTCCGGCCAACATGATGAAACCCCGTCTTAACTAAAAATACAAAAAAAAAAAATAGCTGGGTGTGGTGGCGTGTACCTGTAGTCCCAACTACTCGGGAGGCTGAGGCAGGAGAGTCACTTGAACCTGGGAGGTGAAGATTGCAGTGAGCTGAGATAGAGCCACTGCACTCCATCCTGGTGGCAGAGCAAGACTCCATCTCAAAAAAAAAAAAAGAGTGGACCCACAGGCGTCACGAGACTGTCAAAAGGGCCCATAATATAAATGAAAATAAGACCTCCCTGGTCTAAAATGGGGCCTGTGAAGATGGAAACATCTATCAGAAGGCAGTAAGGAAGATGGGAGACGAAGAGGACTTGATCTAGAGTTGCCCTAAAGGGTCAAAGGGAAGGGGGCTGGCACAGGGGCTGTTGGGGATGGAAATGAAATGAGTCCTGGGGACTTGACTCCTGCAATGACTCTTCCACCCCTTTCACCTGGCTCCCTTGGGAATGAATGTCGCTGATGTCCCACATTTTGCCAAATCCCGTGGTCACCCCATTCTCAGCTGACTAGGGCTCCTGATGGTTTTGCCAACCACTCCCTCCCTCCTTAAGCACTCTCTTCTCTTGACCTCCAGGACATCACATTCTCCTGGTTTTTCTGCTACTCCACTGGTCATACCTTCTTGATCTCCTTTCCTGGTTCTTCTTCATCCCGATGTTAAAAGTTGGGGTTCTTCAAGGCTCAGTTCTGGGCCCTCATCTCTCTGTACTGTCTCTCTGGTGATCTCATGAATTTCTTTGGCTTCAAATATCATCTTTATACTCCCAAATTTATACCTCTGGCTCAGACTCTCCTCCTCCAAGCTTCAGTCTGATGCAGCATTGTGTTTAAGGTATCAGATGTGGAGCCAAACTGCCTGGGCTCAAATTCTGATTCTGCTATTTACTAGCTATGTGAACTGGGGAAATGTATTTAACATCCCTGTGTCTCAGTTTTTTCATCTGCGAAATGGGAATAATGACTGAATCCTCCCTATCTGGATTGCTGCAAGAGTAAATACTTCAATATATGCTTAGAACTATGCCTGGCACAGTACAACAGGTTCGTGTTATTATTACTGAACATTTCCCCTGGATGCCTCATAGATCTTTACTATCCAGCAGGCAATTAGATACGTGATTCTGGGGCTCATCAGAAGGCCTTGGCTGGAGATACTCAACTAAGCATCCTCAGCACAGAGATGGAGGAGGACGCATTAGGCTTTAGGGAAGGGGATGGTGCTGGAGTAGTGCATAGGGTGACAAATGACCTGCAAGACAGTTATAAGTGGAAATAGGCAAGGACATTAAGAAGGCCTAGCCAGGAAGGCTGGAGAAGCACCAGGGAAACATCTGGGGGCCAAAGAGACAGAGAACATCAAGAGGGAGGAAATAAACAATAGGCTCCACAGACGTAAGTGTCCACTGACTTGGCAGCTGATGTGGGTGGTCAGATTGCAGTGAATTGACAAGTAGAGGGATGAGAGGAAGTGGTTATCACTTCTCAACCTGGGATGCTTGCTCTTCTTGGGCCTGGATGGCCTTTCTCTTCTGACATTCACCCGGTGAGCTTGGACTTGCCTTTTGAGATATGGACCAATTATGCTGTTCCTGAAGAAGCCTCTCTGATCCAGTCTGATGGATCATTACCCCCACCTGTCTTATAACACAGCACATGGCGTGTGTCTCTGCTATGGATCATGATGTGTTATGATAAGTGGCAGATATCTGCTACCTATACTGAACTGTGAGCTCCCTGAAAGCAGTGGCCATGTTGTCAACGTCACCATCACCAAAGTCATCATGACCATCAATATCATTATCTTTATTAATATCACCACCATCACATCACCATTGCCACTGTCAGTGTTCTCACCACCACTATTTTTTTGTTTTGTTTTGATTTTGAGACAGAGTTTCATTCTTGTTGCCCAGGCTGGAGTACAATGGCGCAATCTCAGCTCACTGCAACCTCCACTTCCCAGGATCAAGCAATTCTCCTGCCTCAGCTTCCCAAGTAGCTGGGACTACAGACACATGCCACCATGCCCAGCTAATTTTGTATTTCTTTTAGTAGAGATGGGGTTTCACCATGTTGGCCAGGCTGGTCTCGAACTCCTGACCTCAGGTGATCCACCCACCTCGGCCTCCCAAAGTGCTGGGATTACAGGCATGAGCCATCATGCCTGGCCTCACCACCACTATTATATCATACAATCATCACTATCCTCGCATTATAATTAGCACCAACAGCCTTCATCATCACCATCACCATCACTGACATCAATCAGCATCAACACCATCACCATCACTGTCATCACCATCAGCATCTCCATTATAACCACCACCATCATCTTCACTAATTTTAGAGGACAAATACCATATGCCAGGCACTGAGCTAAGTGCTCTACATAAACCATATACTTTTTTTCTCATGAAAAGCCCCAAAGCAAACTTTTATTGTCATAGCTCTATCTTACAGATAAAGAAACTGCTTGATATTTGTATCCTGGCACTTTACACAGTTCTTGGGTTTTTATCGAGCTCAAAGGAGTCTGAGCCAGAGATACAAAGCATTTCTCCTCACAACATCGTGTGCTCAATAGCTATTTATTGAATAAAGGACAGAATGAGTGAATGGTTCTGCCTTTGCTTTGAAAAGTTGTTCATCCTTTTAGAAGAATAATTCCATCTTTAGTGACTGCATTGTGTAAAAGAGGACTAACAGGGCCTGCCCATAGACTTCCAAGGGATTTTCTAACAATATCAATACTTTCATCCCTAGACCCACTCAAATTCTGGAAGGGACTGAACTTGCATGACATGTGGGGAAGAAAGCAGATCCAGACAGAGAGGAGACCTGAGGTCCTCCTCACCTCTTCCCACTGTAAATTTCTAAGACTGGGCTTAAAATAAACTTTAAAGGCATAGGAGTTTGGCGTTCTAATGCTACTCTGAACTGGACTGAGTTGCAAGGCTAGATGGCTGGGTGGACTATCTGGGACCTACCCAAGATATCACCCAAAGGGTGGGGGAAAACAAAGCCCCAGAGAGGATTTGGAAGAGTAGTGGGAGAAAAATTAAGGTCTGGTTTGTTCTATAAAATTCAACATAGCGTAATGGGCAAAAATCAGTCATGTGATGAAGATGTGCCTCAGAAGCACTTACTTCTGGAACAGAAGGACCTGTAGATGTGGAGTATCTTGAAAGATGTGTGTGGCGACAGAAGCAAGTGCTGGGGAGTCCTGACAGTCCAGCTGCTGCAGGTTGGGGGTCATCTTGAAAATGTCCCCCTCCAGGGTCGTCAGCCGAGGCATCTTCCTCAGGTAGAGGGATGTGAGCTTCGGCAGGTCTCTGATCCACCCTGACTCAACTGAAACACAGAAGGGAAACTGCCAACTACTCCAGAACGCACAAACCCAGGAGGCCAGCACGGCATGAAGGAAGAACGAGAGTGGCAAGGTGAATGGTGAAGGTCATCGCTGAGCACGGGCACAGTTAGCAGCTCTGGGAATCTCAGAATTGTGGTCATTTCAGCTGGAAGGGTGCTCAGGGACAAGCAGTCCTTCCTTTCTTCCAATCTGAGTCGGCCAAGGCCAGAGAGGGGATTGATTGGCCCAAGGCTACATAGCTGGAAAGCGGCAGAGACAAGGCTTGAACCCAGGACACTGTCTCCAAGTCTGTTGCTGCTCCACCTTCTCATTAAAGTCCACACAGAAAATAACCAGACTTTGCTCTGATGTCTGTCAAGTGTGGGGAACTTCTGCGGAACGTAATTAAGGAGGCGAGGGGCCCCCAGAAACCTCATTTTGTGGCTCTCCTAATACATGGAGAACGTGCCCCTTCCCCTCGGTATTCCCCATTCTAGCTGTTTTTTCTCTTTGTCTTTGATGAAACAGGTGGTTGTAGACACGTGAAGTGTTTTTTAAAAAATAGTAAAACCGACCTTGTGAATCAAAGAACACCAAGAACAGGAGACCGGTTATCCTCACCACTCTCCTGTGGCTTGAGTGATTAAACATTCACAGAAACTATTTTGCCCAACCAGGTAGAAAAATCAGTGAATTCATCCTGGAAGCCTCAGTCACTTCAGCTAACTGCATGTTTGCGGCTCAGTTTTTCCATTCATCAGCCCCAAAGCATGCACTCACTTCCCCATTCCACAAGCACTTATCCAGCCATGCTGGGAAGCAGAACAGAGTGGTTAAAGTTTTGGGCTCTGGACCCAGAATGCCTGGGTTCAGATTTGCTTAATGTGTGACCAAGTTTCGCCTTTCTGTGCCAGGGTTCCCTCATATGTAAAAAGGAGATGGTAACAGTTCCTATCTCTTAGGATTCAAGAAAGTGACTCCTGTGTGGCGCTTCAAACTGGGCCCGCTTGCTCGAAAAATGTAGCTGGTGTCTTTTTGAACCCTCCTACGAGCTGGGCACCCGGGTCACCCCTCGAGGAAGAACGCAGCCCTGCCCCCCGGAGCGCACGCGCAGCCTGGCTCTGCGCTCAGGCCGGCTGAAAACGCGGGGCGCCCGGACTCACCCCGTTCAAGGAACGTGCCGCTGAGATCCAGGACTTCGAGCGTGACCAGGGGCGCGCCATCCTCTCCAGCGAACGCCGCCTCGGCGATGCCCCCCTGGGCTCCGCGACCCAGCGCGGTGCAGGAGAGGTTGAGGAGCTGCAGCGCGGGGAAGCAGGCGAAGGCCCGGGGCTGCAGCGCCCGCAGCGGATTCCCGGCGAGCGCCAGGGCGCGGAGGCTGCTCAGCGCGGGCCCGGTGCACGGCGGCAGAGCGGCCAGCTGGTTGTAGCTGAGGTCCAGGGTGTGCAGCCCCGCCGGCCCACCCGGGCCCCAGCGCAGCGCGGCGATGCGGTTGTGGCGCAGGGTCAGCACCTGCAGCTGCTCCAGGTGGCCGAGCTCGGAAGTGCTCAGGGCGCGCAGCAGGTTGTGGCTGGCGTCGAGGCTGCGCAGTGTGCGCGGTAGGCAGCCGGGCAGGCGCTCCAGGTTGCGGTTCGCCAGGGTCAAGGCCGTCGCATCCGCGGCGGGCAGCCCCTCGCAGGGCGAGTCGGTGGCGTTGCTGCCACTGCTCCCCCAGGGGCCCTGCTGAGTGACCCGGAAGAGCGGGACCTTCTCCTGGGGAGGGTCTGCCCAGCTGGGGCGCAGCACCGTCAGCAGCAGCAGCGGTAGGGTTTGCCGCATGGCGTCTGGGGAGAGAACAGCAGGACGCCCATCAAATCCACAGGAACCCCCGCACAAAGAGTCAGATGCGCGTCCCAACCCTACCTCCAGGGCTCTGAGGAGGAGCACAGGCGCTGGATGTTCCCTGCAGGGCGGGGAGACGTTCCCAGAGTCGCCTAGTGTGCAGTGACCTCTCCCCTGTCTGCTTTTGCCCTGTCGTCTCCCCTAGGAGCACGGTGATACCCCCTGCTCTTCCTCCCCTCAAGGATGCCTTTTCCTCTTCTCGTGAGAGGGAGGCCTTCTTCATCTGTCCAATCTGGGCCTGAATCTCTCAATAACTCCCTCCGTTTATGTACCCCCATCCTGTGAGCTTCTACAGGAAAGGGATGTCCCCTTTATTGCTGCAAACTCTCCCCAGGTAAACAGTCACTGCTCCATAAACGTGAATGCCCTCAGGAGGCTAGAAACATGAGGAAGATTTTGTCCGTTCAGCAACTCTCAGTTACCCCGCTTTTCCCCATTAGAACTGCCCAGCCGCAGGGGAATCCTAGTTTGCCTAAAATAAGTCTTGGAGTCAGTTTCTTGGCAGCATGCTCAGGGTTGCCTTCAGCAGAAGAACAAAGCCCTGTGAACCCTGGAGTCAAACATTTGCTGGTCCCATGTGGGTTCCAACAAAAGCCAGAGCCCCCAGTATTAGCCCTGCCCAGGAGGGATGGCTGAGAGCTGCTAGTTGTGGAATTTCTGGACTACCTAGGGTTGCACAGGTCAGCTAGGAGATCAAGCAGAGGAAGATCCGGCAGCCATGGGCTAGCTTGGGAGTGGCAAAGATACCGTTAACCATGCCCTGGCCATGAGGTCACTGCTCCATATCCCTCATCACTGCAGATGTGTATTCCTGCCCCAGCTCTCTGTGCTGACCAGTAGATCTCCGAGTCACCACCCAGGCTCCAGGGGAAGGGTCTCCCTATTACTAGCTGGGGATGAAGGCAGTGAGAAAGATCCTGGAACCTGAAGCCAGGAGCGTGTGCACCCAGCAGTGTGTCATGCTTACCTGGAAGTGGTCCTTTTGGAGTGTGGCTTCTCTGGATGCACCTCTGAAGTTCTCAGCTTTGTTTTATAGATTCTAGGGACCACTGATTTGGACAGCAACTCAGCTATGAACTCCAGAGGGAGGCCTGTCTCCCAGCTGCCTCTCTCCCACAACCCCCATCCACTGAGAGGGACTGAGATACTCCAGTCTTTCCCATTGCTCCTCCTTTCCCATCAAGACGCTGTTGTCTTTAGCCAACACCCTCATTGCTCAGCTCCCTCCTCTCCCGCTAGGGCCTGCCCCTGGCCCTTTCCAGGCCTGGCACCTCCTCCTAGCCCTCCCCATCTTTACCTCTCGGAACACTACCTTTCCCAGGCTGGAGAAATGAAAGGAGTAGCGGTGAGGGCTAGTGGAGTGCAGTGAGGCAGAGCAGCGCTGTCACCTCTTAGGAATTTGATCCTTCCTGCCAGGTGGCTCCCATTTTCTGGGATGGCTGGAAGCCAATTCTCCCAAAGGAGGGAAGGCATCCGAGTCTAGAGGAAGCTTGCAGGGATTTCCAGGAAAAAGTGGCAGGAGAGAGGATCCTCAGAAGGGTCTGGGGCAGAGCAGGCTCAAACCAGACCCAAGAGGCCCCGAGGACAGTTTGTTTGGTGGCTCTGGGCCCCCGCTCAGTGACAGTGTGGACGTTTGTCTCTCGTAAGGAGTGAGAATAAACAGAGGACAGAAATGCAGAAAGAACATTCCCGCTGCATGCCTGGGAGGATGGGTCCTGACTACCAGCCCCAGGTCTCCCGAAGATGTGATGCTTGAGTGAGCTTTGTTTAGAGACCTTTTTTTTTTTTTTTTTTAGTTTTTAAATAAAAATATTCATTTTTATCTTACACCTATTGATATGGTTTGGCTGTGTCTCCGCCAAAATCTCAACTTGAATTGTATCTCCCAGAATTCCTGTGTGTTGTGGGAGGGACCCAGAGGAAGGCAATTGAATCATGGGGGCCAGTCTTTCCCATGCTGTTCTCCTGATAGTGAATAAGTCTCACAAGATCTGATGAGTTTATCAGGGGTTTCCGCTTTTGCTTCTTCCTCATTGTCTTTCGCTGCCACCATGTAAGAAGAGTCTTTTGCCTCCCGTCATGATTCTGAGGGCTCCCCAACTACATAGAACTGTAAGTCCAATTAAACCTCTTTTTCTTCCCAGTTTCTTCCCAGTTTCTTTCCCAGTTTCAGCATGAAAAGAGACTAACACACCTATATATAATAAATGTTCACTTATTATACTCTATGTTGTAGTCATAATGAAAGGAAATACTAAATAACAAAATGTTTAGAAGTGATTATCTCTAGATGGTGGGATGACGGGATTTAGGTGGCTTTATTTTCTTTTTCTTTTTTTTTTTTTGTTTAGAGCAGACAGCACCTCTCTCTCCCAGAGTCCCAAGGCAGAGCTCGGTCATTTCCTCTGAGGGCCTTTGATCTGCATCCTCCCCCAATCCCGCCTAGCCCCATCTGAGAGTTCATCAGGGTTAATGAGCCACAGCTTTGCGTGACAGACACTGAGACCAGAACTTTCCTCCTGTCAGTCCTTATCTGGACAGCCCTGAGGAACTCCAGGATACCTCAGAAACTGGCCTATTAGGGTTGATTGGTTAATTGGAAATTCCCGAGGATCTCCATTGAGGCCTTCTCCACCCACAGCCTGAAGATCTTTCCAGTCTCAGTGCCAGCTAGGACCCTGCTGCTCACAAGCGTTGCTCCTCTGCCCGAGCGGGGCAGGGAGAGGCCGCTCTGTGCTCCCCAGCCTGGGGCTCATGCAGTCACCTCCCAGGGAGCCTGGGCCCAGGCCCCAGAGGTATAAACACATGCCATGGAGACATAGGAGGCCAGGTGGGAAGAAGTCAGAGAGAGGTGGGTTCAGCTTAGAGGTGGGGTCAGCACGCAGACCAGTGGGCAGCCTGCTTCCTCTTTGCCTTTGCACGGACAGCTCCACGCCCAATAATTAAAACATTAAGCCAGGCATGGTGGCTTATGCCTGTAATCCCAGCATGTTGGGAGGCTGAGGCAGGAAGGCAGGAGTTCAAGACAGGCCTGGGCGACATAGCAAGACCTCGTCTCTATCAAACAAACAAACAAAAAGAATTAGAACATCATGTTTCCCTCAGAGTTAAACCAGCCAGGTCCACCCATGTAAGGCGACTGACCATGCTGAGGCCAGCAGGGGTTTGGGGAGTCCAGGCAGGGCTTTCCCAGATGAGAGGGAGCCAAATCCATGGAAACACGCCTGGACTGAACAGAGACCCTGAGGGGGAAGGAAGCTGGTTCACTGCGGAGGCCTATAAAACAGGACCTTGGGGAGCCATGTCGGGGTGCTACTCCTCTGTGCACCAGTAGGCGAGGGTTCTGGAGTGGCCCTGGCTGAGGAATTCCCCTGGAGGCATCATCCTGTGGTTGCCTGAAGCCCCAGGCCCTCTGAGCCAACTTCTTGCCACTGCTGCTTGCTGGCCAGTTTGCCAGTGGTGGCAAGGGCCTGGCCTGGCCAGGCTGACCTGAGGTTGGCCCTCTGGACTGTCCTGTTTCCCTGGTCATACCCAGCCCTAGCACACACATCCTTGGCAGGCTGCCCCGTGCGGCTTCTGAGCTGGGGAGGCTGATGGCAGACCGTACATGGCAGGGTTTGCTTATCGGTCTTTCTGGGGCAGTCAGTTGGCCTTGCCCCAGTGGGTAGTCCACTCTGCTTAGCTTCATCATCTCCTTTTTAAAAACTGAGCAGTTACTATAGTCAGAGCCTAATGCCATATGCATAGTCTCGTCTAATCCTCCCCAGGTACTTACTATTATATTACAGACGAAGAAACTGAGGCTCGCAAAGGTTTTTGTGCTCTAGATTCTGGAGCACATATGGAGTGAGCTATGTGATTTAACCACGTCTTTTTTTTTTTTTTTTCGAGACACAGTCTCCCTCTGTTACCCAGGCTGGAGTGCAGTGGTGCAGCTGTGGCTCACTGCAACCTCCACCTCCCAGGTTCAAGCGATTCTCATGCCTCAGCCTCCCAAGTAGCTGGGATTACAGGCATGCGCCATCACGCCTGGCTAATTTTTAGGGGCTATTTTTACTAGAGACGGGGTTTTGCCATGTCGACCAGGCTGATCTTGAACTCCTGGCCTCAAGTGATCCACCCGCCTTGGCCTCCCAAAGTGCTGGGATTACAGGCATGAGCCACTGCGCCTGGCCAAACCACTGTCTTACATTGCCTTCCATAGACCTCAGCATCTGATACTATAATATGCCCTTAAGCACAAGAGAATCTTCTCCAAATACTTAGACCCAAATTGTGTGAGAAGCCAAGACACTGGGAAATTTCCTGCCATAGTTGAGCAGCTCATTCTCAAAATACACAGGGCTGACTTCTTGGGTCACTGTGGGCCCAAGACTGAAGAGGATGACTGGGTAGGGCCTACCAGGCACCTCTCAGGGAGGCTCAGCCCTCTTTTCCAGCCTTTTCTCCTCTTCTAGCACTTCTTGGAGGTCAGGACAAGAGGACTAAAGTGTTTGTCCTCTCCAGAGAAGAATGCTAAGGTCTTGCAACACAATCCTGGAACCAACAAATATGCGTCCTTCAAATGCCACGCCAAGTGCTGTGCCATGCTTGCCCTCCATGGTTTTACTGTAGCTGTTCCTCTGCCTGGATGCCCCCCATTTTATTGCCTTAGTCTCTATTTCAGCTAATTTTTTTTATAACTAGCGTGGGCCCTCTTGAAAGGAGACCCTGAAATATACACCTGGGTGCCATACCCATAATTTATTTGGGAGGCGATCTCAAGGAGTGCGGAGATGGAATAAGGAAGTGAGACAGGGAAGGAAAGGCACTGATGATGTGTTGATGAGCAGAGACTGCCATGGACAACTGGGGCTCCATCTTGCTGGGGGCCTCATCTTGCTGGGGGCCTCTGTAAGACTGTGTAGAGCATACCTCAGGATTGTTCCATTAAGTGGCAAGGAAGAGGGGATATCTATCCACCAGCTTCTGCTTTTTGTTGGTTTGAGGGTTCTTCTGTGGCTTTAACTTCCTGGCACATAGATCAAGCAACTCCATGGAGGGCTAAGGGGATAGGGTAGGCACTGACAGCACCTGCTATAGCATCCTTCAAGATTTCACCCAAGCGGATGCCCCCAGGCGAATTAAGTGCCTTCCTTGGTATTCTTTCCTAGGTAACATTGGCTACCTTTCATCAAGCAGATTGATGTGGCTCATTCTGTAGTTTAGGACTAAACTTCCTGATAACAGAGCCGCATGGTTTATTTCCTAGCCCTAGTGCCTGGGGTGGTGTCTGGCACACAGGAGAAATGTTCTGACAAATGAATGGGAAAAGGTATGACAGTGTACATGGAGGATCATGGTGTTCTTCACAATTCCCAGGAGTGGATGGGGCAGGACTCAAAACAGTAAAAATCAAATTCAAGTTCCTGAAATTCACAGCTCAAGTCCTCCAGCATCCCAGCATTGAGAAGGGCTAAGATGAGAGTTGAGACGGAGGAGTGAGCAAAAGTGGAGGTAGAAAATTGAGTCCCAGAAAACCTTCCAATTCAGATTCCCCACATTCTTAGGATCTTTGAGAGAAAAAATCTGTTGGAAGATTACAAGGTTAGACAGTAAAACTATAGCAGCAGGGGGAAAAAAGAGCCAGTAATTATATACTTGGCCACACTTTTATGGATTTAGATAAAAATCAGAGTCATGGATCTTTGGCCTTAGAAAGAACTTTAGAAGTTGTCTGGTCCCATCCCTCCTTGTCGATTTTAGGAGAAAACTGAGCCCCAGAGAGAGAAATTGGCTTGTCTGAGGTCACACAGTGTTGAGTTCCTAATTACCCAGTGAAAAGCAAAGGCGATCTAATTCTCACTGTTTCACTCTGGCTCTGGGTTTATTTGCACAGCTAACCAGGTCTCACCTGCCCTGATATTAGCAATGTGAGTCTTTCCCTGAAGGTATGGCTAAGTAAACACACCTGGCAAGCATCAAGCCACAGAGCGGTTTCAGGGGCTCTGACTCCAGCTGTTCCCATTTACCCCCAGAACTCCAGGAATAATTACTCCCAATACAGACTGCCCCAGAGACCCAGAATTGGTATCTTCTAAGTGAGTCCTGTCCAGCTCTCTTTACAACTCTTGCAGCCTGCAATGGGGTGATGAGGGCTGGCCCAGGTGACAGGTGACTGCTTGGCCAGCTGCCCCTGCCCTGCTCTCCAGATGCCAGTCAGCTACGCTGAGGGGTCTTCCCCAAAACATGGGAGTCAGAATGTACACGCCTAAAGATTACATTCTTCTCTGACACCAGAGATAAGCCAGAAGAATGGGAGGGTGATTGTGGGAGGAGACGGTACCAGGTTGTCAAGTCTCCGGGAAGAGCCAGCTCTCTCCCAAAATGGAATGTAGAAAAGAGGCTTCCAAGTGGTAGAAACCAAGATATCTGAGTGGGTTCACTGACGTGGCTGCCCTGCCTGTGAGGAAATGATCTGGAGGAAATAAAGTAGTAATGGGTTGAGACGCATGTTTATTTTCTTTTTGAAGTGTCACTCACCAAGTCATATTTCAGCATGAGGATTGATAGAATGCTTAGAATTTTAGAAGATACCATTTGAGATCCTTTTAAAATCCATAGTGGAAAAGATTCAAACAGAAATGTGAGTTCAGACTCTAACCTGCCACTTTATTTTGCATGTGACTTTAGGAAGTGGGATGGGACAGTGGATAGGAAAATTTACAAATTATATTCTGGAATTTACCACAGCCAGAGGCAGCATACTAGGGGAAAAGGACCTTAACTGGGACACAAGACGCTGGATTCTCATTCCGACACCGCTACCATCTTTCTGGGTACAGTGTCTGTGTTCTTAAGCTTCTGTCTATTTCTTATTTTTCATCTGTAAAGTAAATGAATTGGCTTAGCAGTTCAGCACATGTATCTTGAGACCATGCTAGTGTACGACCCAGGTGCTCAGGAGATAACACGGGGGCTCAGAGATGAACAAGGCTTGGACCCTTCCCTCAAGCAGTTCCCAGCCTAGAAGGGATGGAAGACAGAAAAAAATCATGCACAGTGTGAGCACACAGCACATCACAAAAAGTTGAACTGTGAGCTCTGTTCATCCAGAAATTATGTCTAACTTGTTCACTGCTGCATCTGAGTATCTGGCAGCAACTGCACACCATAGATGCTTAAGAGAGATTTACTGGGCTGGGCGCGGTGGCTCACACCTGTAATCCTAGCACTTTGGGAGGCCGAGGCGGGTAGATCACCTGAGGTCAGGAGTTGGAGACGAGCCTGGCCAGCATGGTGAAACCTCATCTCTACTAAAATACAAAAAATTGACTGGGTGTGGTGGCACTCACCTGTAATCCCATCTACTCAGGAGGCTGAGGCAGGAGAATCGCTTGAACCCAGGAGGTGGAGGTTGCAGTGAGCTGAGATTGCACCGTTGCACTCCAGCTGGATAACAAGAGCAAAACTCTGTCTCACAAAAAAAAAAAAAAAGAGAGAGAGAGAGACAGATTTACTGAATGAATGAGTGTGACTGTGCCCTCTCCTTCTCCTGTTTCTGATCAGTTACATTTCCTTATTTGGAATTTTCTTCAGAAGAGCAGTCGGGGTTTGTCTGTGCATTTATTTAGATTTCTAATATGTTAACGAAAATTCTTTCAAAAATAGAAGTGCTTGACAAACAAAGCAATGATTTGGAATCTTGTGGAGCTCGAGTGTTATTTATTCCCCATTGCTATAGAAACGTGCAGATGCATTGTGGATGTTCAGGAACATTTTGTTGAATGAAAAAATGCATGCTGTTCAATAAGTATAGGAGCATATGCTCAACATCATTATTTACCACTGAAATGCAAATTTAAGCCATAATGAGATACTATAGTACACCCACCAGAATGGCCAAAATTCAAAAGATTGACAATATCAAATGTTGCCAAGGTTGTGGAGCAAATGTAACTTTTTTTGAGGTGGGGGTCTCACTATGTTGTCCAGGCTAATCTCAAACTCCTGGGCTTAAATGGTGCCTGGCTAGAACTCATATGCTGCTGGTGGGAATGTCAAATGGTATAGCTACTTTGGAAAACTTCTTGGCAGTCTCTATGAATGCTAGGCATATGTCTACCCTATTACTCAGAAATTACACTCCTGGGTTTATACTCAAGAGAAATGAGTGTGTATAGCCACCAAAAGAATGTTTATAGCAACTTTATAAATGCTCCAAAATGGAAACAACCCAAAAGGCTATCAATAGAAAAACTGATATGTAAATCATGGTATAGTCATACAACGGGTTACTATACAGCCACAAAAAAGAATGAACTATGCCATGCTTAACAACACAGATGAATCTCTTAGCCAAACACAAAAGAGTACATACTATATGGGTTTATTTTTATGAAATTCAAGAACAGGCAAAACTAATCAATGGTCAGAATAATGGTTACCTCTTAACAGCATCCCAGGCAGAGGGAATTCCCGTTCTAAATCAGTGGTCAGAATAGTGGTTATCTTTTAAGAGCATCCCAGGCAGAGGGCCCAGTATGTGAAAGAAATGGAGGCTTGACAAGGCGTGGTGTGTTGAGCAAACAGGTAGTTCAGTATGGTGGGGGGGGGGGGTGGGAGGATGTGGGGGCCATGGAGGAGGAGTGTAGGGAGGAGAGATTGGAAAGGTTATTTGGGGTCATTCTGTGAAAGGCTCTGTGGTAGTCATCAGGGCTATTGGCCATATACTTCAGGTTTTGCCTCTTTTGGCTACTGGTAGGATTGTACTGCCTGGCCCTTTGTGGGTGGGTGGGGCCATGTTTCCACGTTTTGTTCTGGCCAATGATTTGCAACAGGAAGTGATGTGTGTCACTTCCAGACAATGCCATCCAATTGTTAGTATGAGGCCCTCCAGAGCTCTGTCTTCCTCACTGGCATGCCAGTTGCCACTATTTGATGGTGGTTGCTCCATCAGCCTGGATCCCTAGGAAGACCCGAGCTCCCCCAGGGCTGATCACATTGCATAGATAGTATGAGAGATAAAACTTTGTGGTTTTTGGGTGCTTGTTACCACAGCATAACCTGTTTATTTGGACTGACACAGGCCTTGATTACAGTGTCACGTTCATAGGTTCATTTATTCATTCACTCATCACGTTGAATGCTGCTCTGTGCTAGATACTGTTCTAAATGCCAGAGCAGGCATAGTCCCTCCTCTCAAGGAGCTCTCATTCTGTTGGGGAACACAGACAATATGCAAATAAATGAACACGGTCATTATGGATTTTTAAATTTTTATTTATTTAAAATTTTTTAATTTCTGTGGGTGCATAGTAGGTAATTATAGATTGCAATTAGAGTTATAAAGGAAATAAACAGGGTGATGTGACATAAAGGAATTGGAAAGGAGAGTGGAGATGGTCATCAAGAAGGGTGACTTTATTTGAACTGAGACCTGAGGATGAGAGGGAGCTGTCATGCACGGGGCCATGGGAATTATGTTCCAGGCAATAGCAAGAAAGAGCCTGCTATGTTTGAGATGCCCTTGTTGCTGTGTGGATTGCAGGCAAAAGCAAAGCTGGAGAGTTACATTAGGAAGCTGTTGAAAATGCCCATGGGGGGAGGTGGTGATGTTGCCCTGAGAGTAATGACAGTAAAGGCGAAGACAAGTACACGGATTTGAAATATGTTTTGAAAGTAGAATCAACAGGATCTGTTGGTGGATTGGAAGTGAGGTGTGTTAGGCTGAATAATAGTCCCCAAAGACATCCATGTGTTAGTCCCTGGAACATGTAAATGTTATCTTATATAGTAAAAGGAATTTTGTGTGTATGATTAAAGTAAAGACCTTGAGATAAGGTGATTATCCCTGTGGGCCCTGAATGTAATCACTACTGTTCTTTTTTTTTTTTTTTTTTTTTTTTTTTTTTTTGAGACAGAGTTTTGCTCTTGTTGCCCAGGCTGGAGTGCAATGGCGCAATCTCAGCTCACCACAACCTCCACCTTCCAGGCTCAAGCGATTCTTCTGCCGCAGCCTCCCGAGTAGCTGGGATTACAGGCATGCGCCGCCACCACGCCCAGCTAATTTTGTATTTTTAATAGAGACAGGGCTTCTCCATGTTGGTCAGGCTGGTCTTGAACTCCTGACCTCAGGTGATCCGCCCACATCAGCCTCCCAAAGTGCTGGGATTACAGGTGTCAGCCACCCCGCCTGTCCTATAATCACTACTATTCTTATAAGAGGGAGGAAGAGGGAGAACTTACTACAGAGAAGGCAATGTGAAGACAGAAGGAAGGCCGGGCATGGTAGCTCATGCCTGTAATCCCAATACTTTGGGAGGCCAAGGTGGGAAGATCACTTGAGCCCAGGAGTTTAAGACCAGCCTGGGTAAGATAGAGAGACCCTGTCTGTACAAAAAGTTTAAAAATTAGCCAGGCATGGTGGTACATGCCTGTGGTTCCAGCTACTTGAGAGGCTGAGGTGGGAGGTTGAGGCTGCAGTGAGCTGTGATTGCACTGCACTCACAGTGCACTCAAAGTGTTGAGGAGACAATTGGCCATCCAGCTCTGGAATTCAGGGGAGAGCTGGGGCTACATTTGGGAGGCATCAGAGTGAGATGGTGCTTAAAGCCAATAGACGGGTTGAGGTCACCTAGGGAAGGTGAGTAGAGACGGAAGAGAAGGGGATTAAGCTATCATTCTATCCTTTGAAGGTGGGCAGAGGAGGAGGAATGAGCTGAGGTGGATGAGAAGGAGCAGTCAGGGAGATAGAAGAAAACTCACGAAAGTTTGATACCATGAAAGGGGAGAGGCCTGTTTCATTGAGGAAAGCATGGCTGATCAGGTTTTTAGAGACTAAATAAGAGGAGACATTTATGACCTGGACAAGAGCAGGGTCTACTGAGGGGTTGAGACTGAAGCAGGAGAGGAGTGAGTTAGGACACGGGAAAGTGTGTGTTAGCCTTCTTAACTCTCTGGAGAAGCTTTAGGGTGAGATGGAGCAGAAGAATAGGGCGAGGTAGAGTTTAAAAACTATTTAAGGTGGGGGACGTTGTTGTGATTATTTCTTGCTGACAAGTATCCCAAAACTTAGTGGCTTAAAACAAGTCATTATTCAGTACATCGTCACTTAACGTTGTTGATAGGTTCTTGGAAACTGTGACTTTGAATGAAGCCATGTATCATGAAACCAATTTTACTATAGGTGAATTGATATAAACAAGAGTTAGGCTCCTGTGGCATATTTATGGTCACGAAAACATCACCAAACCTTATAAATAAAGACCAAAACACTTCTAATGTTAAATATTAAAATAAACGGCCTGGTGCGGTGGTTCATGCCTGTAATCCCAGCACTTTGGGAGGCCGAGGTGGGCAGATCATGAGGTCAGGAGTTTGAGACCAGCCCGGTCAACATAGTGAAACCCCGTCCCTACTAAAAATACAAGAAATTACCCGGGCGTGGTGGCGGGTGCCTGTAATCCTGGCTACTTGGGAGGCTGAGGCAGGAGAATCACTTGAACCTGGGAGGCAGAGGTTGCAGTGAGCCAAGATCGTGCCACGGCACTCCAGCCCAGGTGACAGGGCAAGACTCCGTCTCAAAATAAATAAATAAAATAAATGTGAGCTATACATATATTTTATATTTAAGAAAGATTAATAAAAACAAGATCATTATTTACCTGCTTATTCCAGTTCAGGGTAGCAGGTGGTCAGAGCCTATCCTAGCAGCTCAGGGTGCAAGGCTGGAACCAGCCCTGGGCAGGATGCCATCCCATTGCAGGGTGCGTTCAGACACGCATACACACTCACTCAGACTTGAACCATGTAGACACGCCAATGAACTTGATATACACAGCTTTGAGACGTGAAAGGAAACCAGAATGCCTGGAGAAAACCCACGTAGACATGGGGAGAACCTGCAAACTTCACAGAGACAGTAGACCAATTTTTTTTTCTCATCCACATTATAAGAAAATGATATTGAATAAAACAATATGATTTGAGGACCTGCTGTATTTGATTCCGTTATTTTGTGGGTTAGGAATTTGGTTAGCGCCCCCCTAGATGATTGTTTTGCTTCTTGCAGCATTGACTGGGGTCATTGCTGGTAGTCAGCTGTTGAAAGGGCTGGTTTGAGGGTTTAAGGTGGCTTCACTCACATGCCTGGCACCTTGATGGGGATGACTAGAAGGCTAGGCTCCACCAGGACTATCGACTGGAGTGCAGACATGTGACTTCTCTAGCATGGCGGCCTCAGGGTAATTGAAGTTCTTGCAAAGTGGTCTCAGGGCTCTGTGAGGGAGTGCTCCAGCACAGGACAGATGCTGCTTGGCCTTTCATGACCTATGCATGGAGGTCACATAGTATCCCTTTTGCTGTACTCTATTGGTCAATCTAGCCACAACCCCTCCACCCCCCGGATTTAATTAGTGGGGACGTAGATACCTCCTTTTTTTTTCTTTTTTTTTTGACAGAGTCTTGCTCTGTCACCCAGTCTGGAGTGCAGTGGTGCAATCTCGGCTCACTGCAACCTCAGCCTCCCGGGTTCAAACGATTCTCCCACCTAAGCCTCCCTCATAGCTGGGATTACAGGTGCACGCCACCATGCCCAGCTAATTTTTTGTATTTCTAGTAGAGACGGGGTTTTGCCATGTTGGCCAGGCTGGGCTCGAACTCCTGACCTCAAGTGATCCTCCCGCCTCGGCCTCCCAAAGTGCTGGCTTTACAGGCATGAGCCACCGTGCCCTGCCAGATCCTCCCTCTTGATGGGAAGACTGTCAAGGAATTTGCAGCCATGTTTAAACCCCCACAGATACAGAATATGTTTACAGATTAGATGAGAAGGCACTGGGGAGTGGGGGGAGGTGAATGATGCAGAAGAGAGAAGAGGAAACTGCAGGAATAAAGTCCTTCAGAGGCCACAAGGGGATAATACTCTGAAGGCACTCCTCACTGAAACAGAAGAAAATAAGATATGGCGAGGACAGGTGCACAGTGAAAAGATGAGGCTGTTCCCATATGATAACTTCATGCTGCTCGATAATGTGCAGGTGAGCTCAACAGCTGAGGGGCGGATGTGGAGGGTTGAGAAGAAAAGAGGGTAGGACAGTAATCTCAGAGAATTGGAACATTAGGTATTTTTTTGAAGAAGATTTTAATAGTGATGACATTTTGTCATTTCTGGAAAGATTATAATACATGATTATTAATCCTCAGTAATATATTAATAACACAATCTCTTTACTAGCAATTATTAATTATGCCAACTATTTATGGAACCCATGAGAGATACTCCAGATTCTAGGTGTTGCTGACCAACTCTTGTTCACCACATTTCTTTAGGAGGGAGGCAAATGCTATTATTTCCATTTTATTGCTGCAGAAATTATATTCAATTTCATAAAGTAAATCTGATAAAGGACCCAAGATGAGAACTCTGAGACCATTTCTGAGGGAGGAGTATTGAGAACATGGAGAATACTTGCTTGTTTTACTTGAGAGAATGTTTGGATTGCCAACTTTTAAGAGAGATAAAAAAGATTATTTGGCAAAAGTCAGTCTTCAGCAAAATTACTTAGTTAAGTGAAATATTTTTGCAAATGATGCTTCCAGTGTTAAAAACATGTTTGTAATTCATGTTCTGGAATTGCTTTCAGGAGGAGTTTCTGATACACGCGTGCGCACACACACACACACACACACACACTCTACAATTATCAGGATTATGTTTATTTATTAAATCACTCACCCAAATATTTTATTTATCCTAATCTCATAATGCACCTTACTTAGTCTCAGATATTTCCAAAAATCAACCCCCCATGAAAGTACTGAAAAATCATCGACAGTGAGGAAATTACAGAGAAGGTGAATCAGGCTTTGCTGAGAATTTCCAAAGGGGGGTTCCAACGATGTTCTGAGCAGCTCCATTGCAAAGGTCCACACACATGCGTCACAGAATCCCATTATGTCAGGCATGACTGAGGTCTTAGAGTCACCCAAATAAAACTTATCTATGTGCTCTGACCTCTCCTCCTTCTGACACTCTTTATATTTATCTACCAATTGGGCTTCCAGTCATTCAATTAGTCAAGCTAAAGATTGTAGGGTCAACTTGACCCTCTGCTCCATTACTGTAAAATTCACTTGTTCATTGCTCACCACTATCAGTTAGAAATGCGTTCAGCTATGAGGTACAGAAACCCTACCTAACAATGGCTTAAATACATTCATTTATTTTTCTTACATAACAAAAAGTCACATCCACATTCAAGGCAGGAAGAATAGGAAGGTGAAGGGTGACGTCAGCTGACTTTCCCTTTTGTTAGGATAGAAAAATCTTTCCCAGAAATCTCCAAAGCATACTTCCCCTTAGGCCTCATTGGTCAGAATTGGATCCCATGGCCCCTCCCCGGCCCCGCCAACCTACAAAGGAAGCTGATCAGTTAGGGAATAAGATTGTCATAATTGGCATAGACCAGTGTAGATCTATCACTGATCTGGACACATTGATTCAGCCCAAATCAAGTTCTGTTAGCAAGGAAGATGGGAAAATGGTTTTGGGTAAAAAATGGTGTTGGCCACAATTGCAATCTGCTCATTTTAGTTCTGCAGCAGCTGATTTTAGGTATGGCACAGTGGCTCATGCCATATATAAATGGCCGGGTGCGGTGGCTCATGCCTATAACCCTAGCACCTTGGGAGGCTGAGGCCAGTGGATCTCCTGAGCTCAGGAGTTCAAGACCAGTCTGGGCAACATGGCGAAACCCTGTCTCTACCAAAATCACAAAAAATTAGCCAGGTGTGGTGGTGCGTGCCTGTGGTCTCAGCTACTTGGGAGGCTGAGGTGGGAGGATTGCTTGAGCGTAGAGGTGGAGGTTGCAGTGAGCTGAGATGGCACTGCTGCACTCCAGCCTGGGTGACAGAATGAGACCCCATCTCAAACAAAACAAAGCAAAAACCATAATCATGAATACTAAGGGCATGCCTCACAAATCCCTGTGGTCTCATATCTGACCAACTGTGCCCATGTATGTTTCTTACCCCAACACACAGTAACATGTGCAGCCCCTTATCTTAAAAGGGTGAACTTTGCTTGAGTTACATGCAATGGATTCAGCAGGTTCTTGCCAAGTGTTGGCTGCCTGTTTGCTCTCCTGATGTCTACCTGATTAAAAGAACCTTATAAAAGGAGGAAAAGGTCAGGGTAAAAACATTTCATGCAGCCTCTAGAAACAGAACTCAGTCCCTTAGGAAAAGTCACCTCTCTCTGGTAGGACTTGGCACCAACGATTGCCACACACTAGTGAGAGTTGGGCCAACCAGTTGTAGGGGTGGAAAGTCCTCTGGTTTGGTGTCGTCTTTGTCGGGAAAAAAGGCAGAACCCTTTCCTCCCCTTCTTAACTCCACCTCTCACCCAGATTTGCAAGCAAACGTTACATTGGACCAACAGTGGGAATCTGAGAACTTTTTAGCAGAAATTTTCACTATTTTGGCATTTGAAACCTAGTGTAAAGTAATTGGAAGAAAAAAGTGTCTATGGAGTTCTGTAGGTCTTACTCAAACATGTTCTGAGAAAAATCAACTCAAGGACATTGTCACGAGTAAAGACTATCTAGGGTCCTTGGCTCCGGAGGCCTTGCCTTCTCATGGGAAATCAAGAGTAGTGTTGAGGAGCAAGCTCAAGTCAGAAGATTTTCATACAAATCCTTGCTTCCCACATACTAGCTGAGTGACTTTGACAAGTTGCTTGACCTCTCTGTGCACAGTTCCGATGTGTGCTGGAGCTGGTTTATCCCCACTGGAAAGACGGATGTTTGCATTTCTTCCCAACTCTGTGTTCACTGACATCATGTTGGCTGTGGTGGGAATCTTTATACCATGGGAATTGGCAAATCAGTGTTTCCCCAGTCCACAGAGTTGTAAACATTTACCAGTGCACCACTGCATGTTTTCTACTTTGTACAATGGGCTGATAATACCTTCCTCACCTAGGGGATGAATTGAGAGAACTCATAGGAGACAAAAGTGATAGCCCTTAATACACACGAGTTTTCTAATTCTTTTAGCCATGTAAATGTTTGCTATATTATTGTTGAGACTGCTTTTTGGAGAGGTGGGAGCTGATTTCACTTGCTCTATCATTGGTTTGCAAAGCCACTTACCATTTTGGTATCCCTGTTGCTCCTGGGGCCTATTTGACTGCTATGGCAACCTGTCAACCTACCCTGAAATTCAGCAAATTATTTAACCTGATGGCATGGCCGGAATAATGGGGTTGTGTTGGCAGAGAGACACCGGAGTCTCTGAAGAAAACACATGCATGATACAAAGGTCCCAGATTATTACACCTGAGTCGGGGATATATCTTGACCTGATTGTGGTGGAGATGGACTGTAATCAATGGAGGACTACAATGGCATGGTCTCAGCTCACTGCAACCTCCACCTCCCAGGTTCAAGTGATTCTCCTGTCTCAGCCTCCCAAGTAGCTGGGATTACAGGTGCGCTCCACTTCGCCTGGCTAATTTTTGTATTTTTAGTAGAGATGGGGTTTCTCCATGTTGGTCAGGCTGATCTTGAACTCCTGACCTCAGGTGATCCACCTGCCTTGGCCTCCCAAAGTGCTGGGATTACAGGCGTGAGCCACTGTGCCTGGCCAATTTCCATGAATTTCAAATGGCTTAATAGATAGCTTATTAAAATACAAAAACAAAAACCAGGAGACAGGATGGTATAAAGATGAGAAAGACACACTCTGAAATGCCATCAGCTGTGTCTTAGGATACCGCTAGAATGGGATAGATTTCTTATTCTCCTTTTTGGGGATATCTCATCCTGCATTAGTCAGCTATTCCACAATGATGCTGCTTAACACACTGCTCCAGAACTCAGTGGCTTACAATAACAAGAATTTGTTCCCACACAAATTGTCTGTGGGTCAGCTGATCTAGCTCGGCTTGGCTCCAGGCTGTGGACTCCATTTAGATCTGCTACATGGATTCCATTCAGTGGCTCAGGTGATGACCTGGGGAATCCTGTTCTCACAGTGGAGGCAGGAGTGCAAAAGGATTGCAAAAGCACAGTGGCAGCCTCTGGGCCAAAGGAAGTCAAACGGCCAAGTCCAACAGTAAGTGGGCAGGTAGTATGTGCCACCCATGGTAGGAGAGGAGAGGGGAGAAAATATTTGCTGAACAATGATCCAAACTGTCACACAAACCATCACACTTATTTGAAAATAAGCTGATAAACTATTTTTCTAATTAAAAATATGTTCTTGTTAAAAATAATACTTTACATTTGTATTGCATATTATGGTTTTAAAAGCATTTTTGCACCATTCTCTCATACGTTTCTTCCAGTGATAGAGTGGAAAGGTAGCATCCCCATTTTTAAAGATGTGAAGATTCTGGCTGCATTATTTTCCTAGAACTGGTGTAACAAAATTACCATAAGCCTTGTGGCTTGAAACAGAAATTTATTCTCCCACAGTTCTGGAGCCTAGAAGTCCAAAATCAAGATGGCGGCAGGGCCATGCTGTCTCTGAAGGGCGCAGGGATGGATCCGTCCTTGCCTCTTCCTGGCTTCTGGTGTTTGCTGGCCGTCTTTGGGACTCCTTGGCCTGCACCTGCATCACCCCTGTCTCTGTCTCCATCATCACATGGCCTTTCCTGCTCTTTTCCTTTGTTAGTTAGTTTGTTTGTTTAAGACAGAGTTCTGTTCTTGTTGCCCAGCTGGAGTGCAATGGCACGGTCTTGGCTCACTGCAACCTCTGCCTCCCAGGTTCAAGCGATTCCCCTGCCTCAAGCGATTCCCAGTAGCTGGGATTACAGGCGCCCATCACCTTGCCTGGCTAAGTTTTGTACTTTTAGTAGAGATGGGGTTTCACCATGTTGGTCAGGCTGGCCTCGAACTCCTGATCTCAGGTGCTCTGCCTGCCTCAGCCTCCCAAAGTGCTGGGATTACAGGCATGAGCCACTGCCCCCAGCCTACCTTTTCCTTTTTTTAAGGACACCAGTCATATTGAATTTAGGACTCACCTTAATCCAGTATGACCTCATCTTTACTTGATTACATCTGCAAAGACCCTATTTTCACATAAGGTCACATTCACAGGTTCTGTGCAGATGTGAATGTGGGGGGACACCATTAACTCAGTACACTGGCTGGCAGAATTTATGGCATCTACACTCTTTCTTGACAATTCCTCTGGTGTCTGGTATCCTCCCTGCCAAATCCATGCCACATCTCTAAGGCCAGATCTTCTTACACTCCTCTGGGCATACATATCGCTGAGAGTCTTGTTAAAAGGCAGACTCTGACTCAGAAAGGTCTGGGTGGACCTCAGAGCTGGGATTAGGGTGAGCCGAGGAGGTGCCCTGTACGACCCTGACAGTGAGGGCCTCCTTAAATGCTGTGCCCGGGATGCCTCACCTGTGCCACCCTAGTCCTGGCCCTGTGAGATTCTGCCTTTCTGACAAATGCTGCTGGGCCAAGGACCACACTTTGAGTTGCAGTCCACGTGGGTTTCATGCGTGGTATCTCACCCTCAATAGCAATGAGGGTGTTTCTATTTTGAAGTTGGATGTCTGTAACTCCTAGAAAGGTAACAGTGGTTCTGCTACATTTTTCTTTTTCTTTTTAAATAACATTGGGTCACATGGGCTGGGCTGGCTGCCAATAATGTTGGTTCTTTAGTGACATTTCAGGAAATTAAGCTGGTAGCACAGAGATTCAGGGCCCCTTTGTAAGCACCTGGTCAGACCTTCATCCCCAGCCCTCCTGGCTTCCCAGAATATCCCACCATTAGTTCTGCCTCCTGACCTCTGTAGCACTGCCTGGAAGAGGTCTTTGCTCTCTTCCAATAGCCTCCCCTACCAGCCAGGGGCTGGGCCCAAACCAGCTACCCCATCACCAGCAATAGAGCCTATGCACTGAGCCCTGACCCCAGGCCTTGCTGCAAGCCCTACTCTTTCCTTACAGTTTTATATATATATTTATTTATTTATATTATATATATATTTATATATTTATTTTAAAATTTTATTTTTAGAGAATAAAATTTTCTCAGGGTCGTGCTTTGTCGCCCGGGCTGGAGTGCAGTGGTGCAGTCATAGCTGTCTATATTTTTGAACTTAATTTGCCTTCCCTGTTACCGGCCCCATTTATGTCCATCAACACATCTCTTGAGTCAGAGGGCACAGGCTTGGGGTGTTGGGCCCTTCCCTCCCCCAGATCCTCTGCTCCTCTCACACAGGGCTCTGCCTTCTCTCCACGCTCCACTTTTGCAACTGAGGGATGTCAGAGGGCAGCCAGAGGCCTCCCCGCCCAACTTCCAGGGGTGAAGAAGAGAGACACTATCCTGTTAAGTCCCCATGCAGCTTTTGTCATTTGCAGTGGCTAGGGAGAAGCGGCTATAGGACTTTTCCTCTGTGATGACTGAAGACACTGCAGCACATGGGGAATTATGGGTGTTTTTGGAGCTCACAGAGTAAGTTGGAGAAAAGAGGTAAATCCTTTTAGTGGAAAGAATCTTCCCCACAGGTGTTAGTCAGGAGCATTCTCATTCAGGTTTTTTAAAAATTGGGACTCCTCTGAGATAACTGAGCCTTTACAAAAATTATTATGATTATTTTAAATAGAGACAGGGTCTTGCTGTTGCCCAGGCTGGTCTTGAACTCCTAGGCTCAAGCAATCCTTCCGCCTTGGCTTCCCAAAATGCTGGGATTACAGATGTGAGCCACCACACCCGGCCAATCACTGAGTCTTGATGCAACATGAGATGTGTGTGCAAATGTCAGGATAGCTTTTTCTTTTCGGTTTTTGTTTGTTTGTTTGTTTTGTTTGTTTTGTTTTTGTTTTTTTGAGATGGAGGAGTCTCGCTCTTTCACCCAAGCTGGAGTGCAATGGTGTGATCTCGGCTCATCGCAATCTCTGCCTCCCAGGTTCAAGTGATTCTCCTGCCTCAGCCTCCCGAGTAGCTGGGATTACAGGCAGGTGCCACCACACCTGGCTAATTTTGTATTTTTAGTAGAGACGGGGTTTCTCCATTTTGGTTAGGCTGGTCTCGAACTCCCGACCTCAGGTGATCCTCCTGCCTCGGCCTCCCAAAATGCTGGGATTACAGGCGTGAGCCACCGTGCCCGGCCTCCCCTCTTTCTGATAGCACTCAATATTTCCACACAACTCCAGTGAGGTTCAAGGAATTGGAAAAACTTTGAAGCAAGTGAGGGCCAAGGGCTTCACTTTTTCAGTTTTTCAGATTTTCCAGCTATGATTTCCTGGACTCAAGAGTCCTTGGCTGTAGGGTGCATGAGAAGGAAAGATGGGTGAAATAACAAAGAGGAATGTTCCCTTTCTGTCTCCTACCACTGAGAGATTCTGGGGTGACAGGAGTGGAAGGGGGAGAGGCAGGAAAGTCACGCTATGTGAGAAAATAATTAAAATGAATATAGAGATACTAAATGTAGAAGCCAATTTTTTTTTTTTTTTTTGAGACAGGGTCACTGAGGCTGGAGTGTGATGGCATGATCATAGCTCACTGCCACCTTGAACTCCTGGAGCTCAAGGGATCCTCTCATCTCAGCCTCCCAAGTAGCTAGGACTACAGGCATGTGCCACCATGCCCAGCTAATTTTTTAAAATCTTTGTAGAGATGGGGTCTTGCTGTGTTGCCCAAGCTGGTCTTGAACTCCTGGGCTCGGGTAAGCCTCCTGCCTTGGCCTCCCAAAGTGCTGGGATTACAAGGTGAGCCACTATGCCCAGCCCCCAAAAATAAATCTTGTGAGTTAAAAATAAAATTTTAAAGTGATTTTAGAAGACAGATATTATAAAATATCTTGACTTCTTGTATTAAATGAGTTTTCAAATTAAAGCTTCCTCATTTCCTTACTTTTCTGACCGTGGGACTAAAAATGAAACTTTCCCAAAATTAAGCACGGTGGCTCACGCCTGTAATCCCAGCACTTTGGGAGGCCGAGGCAGGCGGATCACCTGAGGTCAGGAGTTCAAGACTAGCCTGACTAACATGCAGAAACCCCGTCTCTACTAAAAAAAATACAAAATTAGCCAGGCGTGGTGGTGCATGCCTGTAGTCCCAGCTACTCGGGAGGCTGAGGCAGGAGAATCGCTTGAACCTGGGAGGCGGAGGTTGTGGTTAGCTGAGATCACGCCATTGCTCTCCAGCCTGGGCAACAAGAGTGAAACTCCATCTCAAAAAACAAAAACAAAAATTAAAACAAAGAAAAAAACAACAACACTCTAAGCACCTCATTTCTCTGGCTCCCAGACCTTTTTGGTCCAGCCTCTCCTCCCACAGCTAACTGCTCTTAATGCCCCTGGTTCTCTCTTACTGGTATGAGCCTGAGCTCAGGAACGCCTGCTCTGGAGCTAGGGTAAGGGGCATTTCAAGGCTGGGCAAGGCTGGGAAGGAAGGGTGGGGTTTGCTGGGTTAAGCTTAGTGGCTTCTGGAGTCAAGACAAACACTGCTCATTGGCAGTGTGACCCTGGGCAAGTTCACCTTCTGAACCTTTCTCCTTTGTAGAGGAAGCCATTTCTACCCTCTGTGGGCTGACAGGAGAATTGCACAAAGGGATATCTATAAACTGCATGTCACTAAAGCAAAGTGCCCTCAACACTCAGCCATCAGAATCAGAGGCTTCTGCTGTTCTATTGCCGCTGGGGATCTTTGCTTGCTGGTGTGTGTGTGTGTGTGTGTGTTTTAATATAGAACTGGAAAGAGACAAAAGAGCTCATGATAAGGCAGGATATGCCAGGAAATCTGTGACCAAGTCAGTGAGAAAGGAGTTGAAACCAGCGGGTAAGTGAGGTTTCTAAGGGGCTCTCTGAGGACCCCTGGAATCTGCCACTCCCCACACCACGGGAGGGAACGACCCGGAATCTTGGCGCTGTGAGGAGAGACACATGTTAGACCTCAGAGTTGCAGTCCCTTTTCATAAGAGAGGAAAAAGTCACCTTTTTGGAGACAGTAGGTTGGAGAGGACACAACAGGACCGTACTCAAATCCATATAAATCTTTTACTTAAAAGTCATATAAAAGAATAAAAAATGCAGATTTCTGAATCAACTGTAGATAAGGAAGCAAATGATGTTGAAAGGTGCCCATTAATTTAAAATTTCATCATAGGAATTTGGGTGACCTTTTGCACTCAGTATTAAAAAAAACCATCAAGTTGCTCTTTGGAACAGTAGCATTTAGGTTTGTTTTTTTTTTTTTTTGTCACACTTGTTTATTTCTTTGGGATGTTGCTGTGTGTCATGGAAGAAACGCTCCCCTGAAAACTGTAACCAAACAAAGTTTGGTTAAAACAAAGTTGGTTCCTTTGTTTTCATGGAAATGTCAGACAACTATGAAAAGCTAAGGAAGCATGTTGAACTGAAGGTCTGGCTTTGGTAAATTAGGCAGAGATGTTCTCAGCAGCAAACAGGTAAAATCTGACATCGAGAAGCATTATTTTAATGTAGGACCAGTTATAATCTTAAAGAACTGACTAGGTTCTAAAATAATAGAACTGAGAAATAGGACTGAGAAATGACCAACATCAAGTATATACGGTACACTTAGCACTTGTTTCTATAGAAAACATTTCAAATCAAGTTCTTTATGATGTGAACCAGATTTTCCAAATGCCTAAACCACTTCTGAGCTTTAAGCAAGGCCTCAGAAATTCAGCGGGTGCCTGGGAGGCTTCATTCACATTCACCTCTAAGGAGAGGCTAAAAGAGGAATTTCCAGATGGCAGCTACTGGCTCAGAACCAGGGGGTCCCTTGCCAAGTCTGTCTCTATGTGGCTCCCGGAATTGCTGAGGTCTCACTTCTCAGAGGGCTTTGATGGAAAATAAAGCAACAGCTGACGCTCACGGGCCTCGGAACTCTGGCCAGGCTCCCTGAGGGGTGCATCCTAGGAGAACTGAAAAATGGGATTGGAGCTTTTGCCTTATCCTTACACCCCAAGTTCTTTGTGTGGCAGAACATCTATGAAAAAATAATAAAATATTGTCTGATATTTCCCTTTACTTCTGGTATTGCTTTTGACCTTCTCAAAACCCACCCCTCCCACCTCTAACAAACCAAAATGGAAAATGACAATTCAGGCAGCTGTTAATTGGCTCACTCTCTCAAGGCAAGCACTGTCTCAAGGCAGTCTCAAGGCAGAGATGACACAGCAAAAAACAGAGGGGGAGAAAAAAGTCTATTATTGGCTTGTGATTTACAAAAGCCAAAGTCCTTTAGATAAAAGGCCAGGAGTCGTACCAACATAGATACCAAATCCAGGAGAACACAGACCAGCGATAAGAGGGACGCTTCCCCATGACCCAGACCAGCCTAAAGCCCCTGTGGGGGCAGCCAGTGGGGAGCTGTCAGACCTTGGACATGGTGGTCTTTGAGAATGGGTCTGCCCTTCTCTCCCTGACCAGTTGGGATAGACACCTGACTGGAATCCTTGACACTGGCAGGTGTTTCTATGAACAGAGAGGACTGTGCCTGTCTTCCTGAATCCCAACCCAGAGTAGAAGCAGTGGAGACATGGATCTGGGTTGAGAAATGGGTTTTCCTGTCCCCCTGTGTCACCCACATCTTCACAAAGGACTTACAGGTGGCTGAGAGATCTGTAGGAATGGAATGGGGCTTGCAGGTGGCCCCAGAAATCTGAGGAGACCAATGACTAAGACCAGATGTGGGTCAGTGGTCATCTTGGCAGGTATCACTGTGGACAGATGACACTGAGGGCCACTCCTCTGACCTTGGGTTGTCAACTGCTACCTGGTAGCCCCACCCCTCCCCTTTCTACCCCTAGACCTTGGCCTCCAGGGAAAAAGTGTGTGTAGGAACTCCCTCTGCCATTTTGAAAAGACAGGAGCTAAAAGCAGTTCCATGAAGGACAGGCGTTTCGTTTCATACCTGAGTTTGTGAAATAAGAGTTGTTCTTGCTACACGTGATTTTTACCTTTCTGTCTTCTCCATTGACTTAGTAATGAGACAGATCAGCACGAGGATAACTTGTAGCCATACACCTGGCAGGTTCTGCAAGTCAGAGAACTGTAACCACATGCTGGGCCTTAGAGCAATCTTAGGGCACCTGCTTTTCTCCTGCCTACCCATTTTATAGAAAAAACAAGAGAGGCTCCTTCCGTGGCTGGTAGCACAGGGCAAAGTAAGGAAAGGGATGTGCCAGCAGTGGGTTTGAATGAGGATCTGGGTGACCAGCGGTGAATGTATGTTGTCTGTTAGTCCAGAATCTACATGCTGGGCACGTTAGGGATCCCTCTGGGGAGGGGCGCCTTTGGCTTGCCTTGTTGGTGTGAGCCGAGCACGCGTGCTTGTTTCAATCCTGACCGCCGGTCAATTTGTGGAACAAGTCCTCATCGAGTGTTTCATTCTGGTCCTTGGAGCGGGTGGACAAGAAAATGTAGCCGCCAATGTACTCGTGCACAATCTTGCAATCTGCACTCAGGCAGGTGAAAGCAGTAAAGACGTTTTGGTCAAACTCGATGACCACCTGGAAGAGGAAGGCACAGAGAAGCTTAAACTCTGACAAGGAATGATGAAAAAAAAAGTGCTTTGCTGGACTGGCCCCTGGAGCTGAGGGCTGCTGAGGTGGATAACAGATGGATATCCCTCTAAAACACACAGAAAACCATCACTTCCATTAAACGCTTCCAGAAAACATCTTTGCTCTCTTTGCGCCCTCTGGTGGTGTCGACTTTGCTGCACGTCTGGTTAAAAAAACTCCCAACACATTTTCTGTCTACAGTTTAGATACAAGGATTTTGCCCAAGCACTCTCTGTCTCCCTGTGTTGAGGGGCAGGGTGCTTCGCAGGCACTTTATTTTTATTTTTATTTTTTTTTTGAGATGGAGTCTCTCTCTGTCACCCAGGCTGGGGTACAGTGGCACGATCTCGGGCCACTGCAACCTCTGCCTCCCAGGTTCAAGCGATTCTCATGCCTCAGCCTCCCAAGTAGTTGGGATTACAGGTGTGTGCCACCACACCTGGCTAATTTTTGTATTTTCAGTAGAGACGGGGGTTTCACCATGTTGGCCAGGCTGGTCTTGAACGCCTGACCTCAAGTGATCCATGCCTCGGACCCCCAAAGTGTTGGGATTATAGGCGTGAGCCACTGCACCCGGCCTGCAGGCTCTTTAATGAATAAAAGTCTGCCTGAATTTTCCTACAGCCACTGCCCGGAACCCTTTCCTAGCTGCAAGTCATAAACTCTAAGCACTAGAAGAAAGACTTAGAGACTTTGCTGGTTCACAACCTTGGCTGCCCATTGAAATCACTTGTGGACCTTTAAAAATTACTAATGGTTCGTTCCTCCTCCCAGAGATTCAGATTTAACTGGCCTTGGGTGTGGTCTAGGCAGTGGTGTTTTAAAGCTCCCCAGGTGATCCTAATACGCATCAAGGCTTTAGAGCTACCGCCTTAGAGGTCATCTAATCTCTGAACTTGATTTTACAAATAAGCACCCAGATGATTATCAACACTGCTGAGAGGAAGTCAGGGTTCTTAACAAATGTGTGGGTCTCTTACCATCCCTCTACGTCAGTGACTTTCTATTGGAAAATGAGAATGCCAAAGGAATGAGGGAAGATTGAGTCTGTATCAGCAACATCTGAATGTTTTAATTAATTCAAGAATGAATGAAACAGGGTCTTGCTTTGTTACCCAGGCTGGAGTGCAGTGGCACAGTCACTGCTCACTGTAACCTCGAACCTCAACTGATCATCCCTGGCTGAGTAGCTGAAACTACAGGTGCACACCATCACACCTGGCTAGTTCAGCGTTTTTTTTTTTTGTTTTTTTTTTTTTTAATTTTCTGTGGAGACAGGGTCTCATTATGTTGCCCAGGCTGGTCTCGAACTCCCAGCCTCAAGTGATCCTTCCCACCTCGGCCTCCCAAAGCACTGGGCAGAATGTTTTAAATTAGCGGCAGGATGCTAAGCTGCCTCTAACTTCATCTGGAATTTTCCATGATACAGGCTTGGCCTGAACTTAGCTCCTAGGATGGGAGATGATGGGAGGCTGTAACATAGGCTAGGGGTTTGAGGGCTCCTGGTTTTAAGAGGTGAAGCTTTTCTCAGTCATCACTATGGACCTCACTTTCTTCTTCAGCAGTTTTTCCCTTTTGGGCCTGGAATGCTCTCCAGGTGAGCAACTGAATCTTCCAGTCCTCCATCGGGTTTCTTGGCAGCCAGTCAGATGAGGCTTTTTTTGGATTTATTTTGCATAGCAGTTACATCTCCAGTAGTTTCTCATAAGTAAGTATCAAGCTAAATCCTGTATAATCCTATGCTGAGTCAATGAAAATTAATGAAACTGCTCAGCGATTTCAGAACCTGTCTGTATTGAAAGTCTGCATGGAGACTAAGCCAACTTGCAGTGCTAATGCAAGAGCATTTGGCCTGTGCCTGTTAGGAAGCTGCCCAGAATTGCATATGATGATTTTAGCAGACAGACAGTTACCATATGCTTGTGGTTTCTTAGGTCTAAATAGAAGAACACCTTTTAAAACTCAGAATAATCTGCAATTCTGAGGGACACACATTTATAGGCTCAACACTGAAGAGCAAAAACTTTCACTTTACCTGCCGGGTTTCCCAGTTTACATTCCACTGTTTGATATTTGTGAATCTCCATGTTGTCACTGGAATCCCGGTGGCTGCATCAATTTTAATCAACCTGTTATATGAAACTCCCAGAATGTCATCTTTTTTGCTTCCTTTAAATCTGAAAAGAATCATAATATTAGTTAAGAGAAGCAACTGCTTCCTATAATACAATGTTCACTCACATATAACTTCTTAAAAATACTACCAGTATTTCTGAATCATTTCAGAGGAATGGACAATGAAGAATTAACTTTCTGCAGGGGGGCATTTTTATTGGGATATAGACAGCGTGAAAAAAGAATGAAGGCTATCCTGCAGATGGTCTTTAAGTAAAACTGACATCAGAGAGAAGAAAAATAAGATGGAATCAAATAAATTCATTCAAAATGATTACTGACTCTGTGTTGGGCACCCTTCTAGGCATGGGAGATATAGTAGTAAACTAAACGGATGGAAAATTTCTGACTGTGGGAGGGAGAAGATCATAAGTATGAGGTACATATGCCAGATAAGATGAAGGAAAATAAAGTTGGAAGGGCTACAGGGAATACTGGTAATAAGGTGGTTACAGTTTGAAACAGGGAGGTCAGTGAAAAGGTGACATTTGATCAAAAAATGGATATGCATGAGGATGTGAGCCGCGTGGATATCTGGGGAAAGAGTATTCCAGGCAGAGGGCACAGCCACTTAAAAAAATTTTTTTTTTAATGTGCTTAAGGACCTGCCAGGAGGCCCATGTGGCTGACACAGTGAAGGAGGGGAGAGAAATGTGAGTTCAAGAGCAAAGGTCTTGTAGGCCACTGTAAGGATCTGGCTTTTACTCTGAGTGAGATAAGAAATCCTTCAGATTTTGTGTGTGTGTGTGTCTTGTAGAGACAGGGTCTTGTTATGTTGCCCAGACTAGTCTTGAACTCCCGAACTTAGGCAATCCTCCTGCCTTTGCCTCCCAAAGTGCTGGGATTACAGGCATAAGCTGTCACACCTGTCCCAGATGGTTTTGAGCAGAGGCTTCACAAAATCTGATTTAGATTTTAAAAGGATCCCTCTGGCTGCTAAGTTGAAAATTTAGTGGGATCAGGGTAGAGGCAGGAACACCAAGCAGGATCACTCTGGACCGGCTCTGTGATGGTGGTGGTGGAGGAGGAGGCGGAAGAAGTGGTCGGATTCTGTGTGTACTTTGAAGGTAGAGTCACTAGGAGTTGCCTATGGGCAGGATGTTGGTGTAAGAGAAAGAGCAGAGTCAAGAATGACTCCAAAGGATTTGGCCTGAACATCTAGGGCGAGGAGTTGCCTTCTACTGAGATGAAGAAGTATGTAGCGGGGAGCCAGTTTAGGGGGAAGATCCGGAACTTTGGACATGTAAAGATGAGATGCTCATTAGATATCCAAGGGTCACTGGATTTATGAATCTCCAGTTCAAGAGACAGTTCTGGGCTCAAGATATATATTTCAGAGTAATTGGCATATAAATGAAGTCAAAAGAATGGCTGAACCCAAGAAGGTGAGTAGAGATTGAGAAGAGGAATGCTTTAAGAACTGAGGCCTGGCTGGGTGCAGTGATTCACATCTGAAATCCCAGCACTCTGGGAGGCCGAGGCAAGGGGATTACTTGAAGCCAAGAGATTGAGAGCAGCCTGGGTAACACAGTGAGATCCCATCTCCTAAAAGAAAGTTAGCTAGGTGTGGTGGCTCACAAGTCGCAGCTACTTGGGAGGCTGGGGTGAGAGGATCACATGAGCCCAGGAGTTTGAGGTTATAGTGAGCCATGATTGTGCCACTGTGACAGAGTGAGATCCTGCCTCTAATTAAAAAAAAAAAAAACCAAAAAACTGAGGACTGTGCACTCTGGTATTATAAGAGATTGGAAAGATGAGAAAGAACCAGCCAAGGAGACCAAAAGAACTGGTCAGTGAGGGAGGAGAAAAGCCAGGAAAGTCAGCTGTGTTGGAAGGCAAGTGATGCAAGTTGGCAAAGGGTAAGGGGTGACTCATTGTGTCAAATGCTGCGGAGAGGGTAGCTGGTGCAAGGACTGAGAGGCGACCAATGGACTCAGCAATGTGAAGGTCATGGGTGGCCAAGAGGTGACCTTGATGACAGAAAGTAGCAGGGGCAGTGGGGTAGGGAGGGAGAGAAAACCTAACTGGAGTGGTTTCAAGAGAGAATGGAAGCAAGGAATTGGAGGTAGTAGGTACGTACAATACATTCAAGAAGTTTTACTGCAAATTAGGGCAGAGCTTGGGGAGAGCAGCTGGAGGGGGTTGCAAGAAGGGGAAACTGATGTGAAAAATGATGCTGCAGGAGACAGAAAAGCATAATTTTAAAAGAATTCCTAGCTGAATATGTCACTTTTCACATCATTCTTATCTTCTGCATGTCACCCTTGGTTAAAATTTACTCCCCTGTTCTGGAATGTTTTCCACATTATTCCTTCATTTCACCACCTTAATGCTTAATATCACAAATTAACCCACTTCTTACTCCACCCGCTTCTCTCTAACCTATGGGAGTTCCCTGGGCTGCTCTCCATCATCCAGGGAGCGGTGAAGCAAGGACCTAGGTCTCTCGGGTGTGGGCAGATCCCGATTCCGCCAGACATCCTACACACAGCATGGCTGCTCCAGGCTTTGACTCTGACTGACCTTGGAAAAAGCAGATCTTCGCTACACCTGGGCCCACTGCCTCAAAGCCTCACCTCCATAAACAGGTGTTAGAGATAGAGGGAGGTGCAGGGGGAAGTAGCTGGTAAAGGAGGAGTTGTCACCGGAAAGTTGTTCAGGCCCACACCACGCTTCACCACGTATCAGGCACTTTGCTTGCAGGCTGCACTGGATTCTCTCAACACAGTAGGTTCGGAGAGCCCACTGGACACATGGAGAAGCTGCGCTTGGGGAGCGCAGCAAAAATGCCCGGGTCACAGAGCTAGCAGAGGCAGAGGTGAGACTGAAAGCTGGGCCTGGTCAGTTCAAGTATTTATGTGGTTTTCACTATGCGGGGTTGACTTCAGGGTTACAGGTGAGTGTGTGTGTGTCCGCACATGGACACATATGCGCGCACATAGTGGGTATCCAGTACGACTCCGCGCTTCCTCACTCCTTTGTTGGGGTAAGTAAAGCAGAAGGAGTTGCTTGTTTGGGACAAACGTTGGGGACTGATATTCAATGAGATATTTCAGTGAATAGGAAAGTCTGTTTTTTCTGTTGTTTTGTTTTTGTTTTAGAGACAGTCTCACTGTGTCGCCTAGGCTGGAGGGCAGTGGCGCGATCTCAGCTCACTGCAACCTCCACCTCCCAGGTTCAAGTAATTCTAGTGCCTCAGCCTCCTGAGTAGCTGGGACTACAGCTGCACACCACCACGCCCAGCTAATTTTTTTTTGTATTTTTAGTAGAGATGGGGTTTTGCTACGTTGCCCAGAGTGGTCTTGAACTCTTGAGCTCAGGCAATCCGTCCACTTTGGCCTCCCAAAGTGCTAGGATTACAGGCGTGAGCCACCGCGCCCAGCTGGAAAGTCTGAATAGACTCCCCTGTTAGAAGTAATGGAGGAATGGAGTCTTTGGAAAGGGCCAAGAAAACAAAAACTGCCAATGATTAAAAATACAAACCAATTATCCCACCCCGAAATTATAAGATGAGAAAGTGACAGTACTTGCTGTACTGTAGGATTGGGGGTAGATTTTGCTTAAGCATCAGTCTCCTTTTCTGAACTGAAGAATGTAATTTGATTTACAAGCATGCTTGTGGATATGTTTTGGGAAACCATCCATTGTATACAGTGGGGCAGAGCCATAGTGCTAGGCGGGGATAACAAATGAGGATGCAGGGCTTTATGCCAAGTGTGCCCTGGACTGGGGGTGAACTTGGACAAGTCACTTAAGCTGTCTTTCTGGGGGCAATAGATGGGCCTCCTATGCATCCTTCAGACCCAGAAATCTTCAGAGACCAGTGAGAACAGGGTTGCTACCTGATAAACCTGGGTAGAAATAAGACAGAGCTTGCGGGGACCTCTCTAAAAACCTAACAATTCTGCAAAGCCACACCACGAGACACTATGAGACACAAAAAGGAGGAAGCTGACATGAAAGAAAGTCGTAGCCAGGTGTGGTGGCTCATGCCTGTAAACCCAGCACTTTGGGAGGCTGAGGTGGGAGGATTGCTTGAGATCAGGAGTTCGAGACCAGCCTGGGCGGCAAAATGAGACACCCCCCCCCCCGGCCACCCTCCCCACACCCGATCTCTTAAAAAAAAAAAACAAAAAAAAAAAAACCGAAAAGAAGTTACAGATTTCATAAAATCAATATGTGATGTTTACCCTCTGGTTTTGGAAATGTAGTTATCCTAAAAAAAACCCTCCTTTTAAAATTTCCTTTCCCACATTTAGCTGAGTTTCAGGGGTATTGGAACTTAGAACAGAAGGTATGGAAAATGTTTATGAGCAGCCCAAAGTGTCAGGACTATTTATAAAAGGGCAATATTCTCAAATAAAAAGCATTCTATATTCTATGCTAAATGAGAAAACTGGGGCTCCCCAAAAGCCACTTAAAATTGAATGGAAAGTGTGAGAAACAAGTGAACATTGTAATCACCTGACAAGGTAGTAGGTGAGGCCAAACTCAGGCAGTGACTGCCACGCCTGGATGAACCGCAGCTTGGCTTCGACCAGGGGCATCTGGGCCACGTTCTGGTGCGCCTCCAGGATCCGGGCGGCCAGCTGAACAGAAACAGACATCAACCTCTCTTCACATGCACCGGCTGCTCTGTGATCACCCTGTTAGCTCCAGATCCCCCATAAGAACAATACACTCAAGGTCCGTCTGCAGCTCTACAAAGACAATCCATTCTCATCCATTCATTCTCTCTCTTTTTCTACAAGATACAACAATCACTGGAAGAAGCAGGAAAAGGATCACCCAACACATAAACTTCTAAAGTTGGTGCAGTTGGAGAGCTCTGGGGTCCCTCTGTCTGAGGTCTGTGGAGTGTCCACAGACAATGATTCTACATGAATCAGCTCATCTGTGCAACTTTTAACCCACTCCTATAGAAGCATAATTTTAATTATTAATTTGTGAGAACTAAATAAGTTCAATCTGGGAATACCTACATGTTTAGTCAGCAGTACAGTCACCTCTAACAAAATTAACAATAATTTCATAACATCATCTAATATTCAGGACATAGTCAAATTTCAGCATCAACTGATTTTTTCATGATGATACTCTTAATTAGATGGAATTACTCCTTTTTTTTTTTTTTCTGAGACACAGTCTTGCTTTGTTGCCCTGGCTAGAGTGCAGTGGTGCAGTCTCAGCTCACTGCAGCCTCCACCTCCTGGGCTCGAGCAATTCTCCTGCCTTAGCCTCCCAAGTAGCTGGGATTACAGGTGTGCACCACCACGTCTGACTGATTTTGTATTTTTAGTATAGAAGGGATTTTACCGTGTTGCCCAGGCTGGTCTTGAACTCCCAACTTCAAGTGACCCACCCACCTTGGCCTCCCAAAGTGCTGGAATTACAGGTGTGAGCCACCATGCCCAGCCGGAAATCCTCCTTTTATTTCTGTTTGCATAAAGAATTTACTGCAAACAATTGCCCTAACAAGATTAACAGTACCTGTTTGGATTTGTGTCTTTTTGCACACCGTGGTGACACAAAACATTCTGGGTTCATATCCATGTTTTCGAGACTGGAAGCCACCTGAGATGCAGAGTTCCTGTTTTTCATCCTCAGAAATGAAAGGATGTTGAGGACCTCTGGCTGGTAGGAGCTGTCTGCCATGGTTTTGCCCTTCGATGCCAACATGCAGGCAGCCATCCATTGGGCGTATTGATTCTCCTGCAGCAAACAGAAGGTTGAGAAGCAAGCTCAAGTGCAAAGCCCCCTGCTGCACACAGAGGGGGACTTGGGCTTTCTACCCCATTACAGTGCAAAACCATCACCTTCCAAGCAAGATGTGAAGTGGCACACGTTGTGAGTGGCTGCTCATCAGCTAATGTAACACCTAACAGTAGTTTTTGAGTCCTGTGTTGAGTTTCTAGATGCTGGGAGGCTAGAGGATAGGAATGTCAACTTTGATAAATTGCATGCAGGGAATTTGCATTTAAAGATGATCCAAGGGCCAGGTGCGGTGGCTCATGCCTGTCATCCTCAACTTTGGGAGGTTGAGGTGGGTGGGTCACCTGAGGTCAGGAGTTCGAGACCAGTCTGGCCAACATGGTGAAACCCTGTGTCTACTAAAAATACAAAAATTAGCTGTGCGTAGTGGCAGATGCCTGTAATCCCAGCTACTTGGGAGGCTGAAGCAGGAGATCCCTTGAACTCAGGAGATGCAGGTTGCAGTGAGCCAAGATTGCACAAACGCACTCGAGCCTGGGCGACAGAACAATACTTTGTCAAAAAAAAAAAATACCAGGTGTGGTGGCTGACACTTGTAATTCCAGCACTTTGGGAGGCCGAGGCGGGTGGATCACGAGGTCAGGAGATCAAGACCATCCTGGCTAACATGGTGAAACCCCATCTGTACTAAAAAATACAAAAAAATTAGCCAGGCGTGGTGGCAGGCACTTGTAGTCCCAGCTACTTGGGAGGCTGAGGCAGGAGAATCACTTGAACCTGGGAGGTGGAGGTTGCAGTGAGCCGAGATTGCACCACTGCACTCCAGCCTGGTGACAGAGCGAGACTCCATCTCAAAAAAAAAAAAAAAGGTCCAAGGACACAAAGAAGTGCCATGGGGCACAGATAGGTGGTGAAACCGCAAACTGTCAGCTTTCCTTGATATGTATTTCTGTTTTCATATCACATCTGGTCTCTACGCCCAAAAGAAAATGATGAAAAAAATTAGCTGATTTCCTATATTATTTGTATCCTGGTCTATCCTTGGTAAAGACTCTAACTCTAAGGTAGCAATCATGGCCATTATGGGATCTTAACAAGTCAGTGGTGGCTTCTATTGCTGTTTAATTTCTGTGTTTTATTTCTGACTTCAGGGAGTGAACAGGGGTGGTCCTCAGAAGTGCAAGGGATACAGTTAAAGAGGGGCGTTCTTCAGTGCAACAGTGGGTGAGGAACGTTGAATTACTGGCCTCAATCTTCACTGCCCCTGATAAGGTTTGGCTCTGTGTCCCCACCCAAATCTCATGTTGAATTGTAATTCCCAGTGTTGGGGGAGGGACCTGGTGGGAAGTGATTGGATCATGGGGGCAGATATACCTCTCGCTGTTCTTGTGATATTGAGTGAGTTCTCATGAGATCTGATGGTTTAAAAGTGTGTGGCACTTCCCCCTTCACTCTCTCCCTCTCCTGTCACAATGTGAAGATGTGCTTGCTTCCCCTTCACCTTCCGCTAAGATTGTAAGTTTCCTGAGGCCTCCCCAGCCATGCCTCCTGTATAGCCTGTGGAACTAGGAGTCAATTAAACCTCTTTTCTCTCCCAGTCTCAGGTAGTTCTTTATAGCAATGTGAGAATGGACTAATACACCCCCCACCACTGCCATCCACAACCTTCGCCATATAACTTTACAGTTCCTCCCACCAGGGAGGAATTCCCATCCCTTGACTGCAGGCTCAGTCATGTCTTCTGCTTTGGCCAATGGAATGTGGGTGGAAGTGACAGTGTGCCAACTTCATGCCTAAGCTTTAGGAGGTGCATGTGTTGCTACGTGCCCTCTCACACTTCTGCCCTCACCAAGAGGAGACCTTCCCTAGGCAGCCTGGGACCCAGAATAAATAAAATCAGCTCAACCAGAGGCACAGTCCCACCAAACCTGTGTCTCCAAACCCATATGACCAGCTGACACCATCCTGGATCATCCAATCCCCAGCCTACCTTTCAGCACATCTTTCAGAAAACAATGTTTATTGTTTTTCTTTTTCTGGGGGAACAGAGTCTTGCTCTGTCACCCAGGCTGGAGTGCGGTGGTGCCATCTTGGCTCACTGCAAACTCTGCATCCTGGGTTCAAGTGATTCTCCTGCCTCAGCCTCCCAAGTAGCTGGGATTACAGGCACCCACCACCATGCCTGGCCAATTTTTGTATTTTTAGTAGAGATGAGGTTTCACCATATTGGCCAGACTGGTCTTGAACTCCTGACCTCAGGTGATCTGCCCACCTTGGCCTCCCAAAGTGCTGGGATTACAGGTGTGAGCCACTGCATGGCAAATGTTTATTGTTAGAATGTCATTGTGATTTTGTTACACTGTGATTGTTTGTTACAAAGCAATAGCTGAGTGACACAATAGTGCTCTAAATTTGTGAAAACATTTTTGGGTTTTGCTCTTAGGCTTAGTGGAGGTGAAGTGACTTAATATTTTTGGGGTTTTACTCACATGGTCACATCTCAAATACATTTCATTCATACCATCGGCAACAGGGATTAGTAACTTGATTCCAAATTTTCTTCCTGCTACATTTACATCGGGCACAACTTCGCAGCCTGAAGGACAAAGATCAGAGACAAAACTGAGTTCTGAGGCATCTGTTAGATAAACATCAGGTGTGTATCTGAAATAAAGACTTTGAATACAAGCCCCTCAGATTTGCTTTGGTTTTGAAAAATGGAGGAGCAAGCTGATAACATTAATTAATGGATAATTAGATAAATCTTATGAACAATTAACATAGATAAAGAAAAATGCTTTTCTTTTACAGTTTTCTTAAAAAGTCAATTTAGTTCATTTTCAGGTTAATGCTGGCTCTCCAAACTCATAGAAAAAATTGTGGATATGAACTTTAAAATAAATCAAAGCAGAAGGAATTCTCTGATTGTCACAATAATGTGAGTTGAGTGTACTGGTTAATTAAATATTTCAATTAATAGATGGTTATCAGGACGCTCACAGTGACCTTCAGAAATTAGAATAGGCATTAAAGTGACACTGAATTAAATATAACTGTTCTGGAATACAGAAAACTTTTCAGGATCTTACAGCACCTCATGTGCTATACTCTTGGACATGAATTACCACCACATCATAAACTCTGGACACACTGAGAAAGATGGAACAGCAGAATGCAAATAATCATGTTTACTAGACTGCATTCAAGGCTCATGCTTGGAAGAGCAGCTGCAGCCAGGCTGTCATTTGGAAAACAGTGACACTGGTTCTGGTGGTTCCTCTAGAAGTAAGTAAACCGTGCCTCATGGTGTCGAAACCCTGACTTTAATCTGCTCACCTCTTTTTTTTTTTTTTTTTTTGGAGACAGAGTCTCACTCTATCACCCAGGCTGGAGTGCAGTGGCATCATCTCGGCTCACTGCAACCTTCACCTCTTCAAGTGGTCCTCCTGCCTCAGCCTCCCAAGTAGCTGGGACTACAGGCATGTGCCACCACGCCTGGCTAATTTTGGTATTTTTAGTAGAGATGGGGTTTCACCATCTTGGCCAGGCTGGTCTCGAACTCCTGACCTCAGGTGATCCGCCCGCCTCAGCCTCCCAAAGTGCTGGGATTACAGGTTTGAGCCACCGCGTCTGCCCTGACTTACGATGAGCCACAGCAAGATATAGGGTACTCTTACCTCTAAGATTTAGTTTTTCTAGTGGTTCTCCTTGTTCAAGTTCCTTATTTTTAAAGTATGCTATGGATGTGTCTTTAAAGATAAACCAATATTGTTTGAAAGCTTTTGGTAGTAACTTCTTGGGCCTGCAAATTCAAAGATAGTGAATGTTTAAACCACCACCCAGAAATGTGGAACACGCTGCAGATTTCAAGCAGATCAGATCAGATGTTTGTGTCAAAGAAAACACACTTTGTTTTTTCAAAAATAATTTCAAATTGCTAATTTCCAAGCGCTGGAAATGAAATGCTGATATGTGATGTAGATTTTAACACTAAGCCTCCACCTGGGGCCACACCTGGCTCTGCTACTGTCTACACGTGTGTCCTGGGAAAGATCCTGCACTTACCTGGGCTGCGTGCACTGCCTCTGTGTGATGGGGACCGTCGTAGTCTGGGAACCCAGGGCTTTTGTGAGGACAGAATGAGTTCATCTACATGAAGAGCTTATCACAACACCTGATGCAACTGAAGTGTTAACTGTGATGGTGTATGTGAGGAACCGACATGAATCTGGTGACATTTGGAATCTCGGCATACTTTTTGCATTTGAAAAAGCTGTCGATATGGACAGCCCAAGCTTCAGGTTACCATACATACAAGTCAGATATAAACATGAGCAGCATTTTCTGTAGTTTCCTCTTCACCCTTAAGAGAAACTATGGGAGAATTCTCAGTGAACCATGGAAATCAGCGATATCTACAGCTAGTCAATATAGACTCTACTGTTATTAAAAACTATTTTGGGGAAAGGTATCCAGCTGTGGTATTGGTATCTGTTGGGGCCAGAAAACTTTATACAGTGGACTAGACAAGGTTGGTGGTGCCAGTGGCAGGCCTAAAGGTTGGGTCATTCAAAATAGGAAACGTGAGAATGAGCTAGGGGGAGGACAGGGGTTGGAGATAGGCAGAGAAAAGAAATTATTAGTATGCGGTTTGTGGAAGAAACCTGGCCGTGGGGGCAGATCAGGGTATCTCATGCCAGAGGGGCGGACTTCTGCATCAAGAATGGGAGAAGAAAGGAACCTTGGTGTTCCTCTTGGAGAAGAGAGGAACCATTCATATGTAATTTGGGGCAATTTTTTTTTTTGGAGACGGAGTCTCGCTCTGTTGCCAGGCTAGAGTGCTGTGGCACGATCTCGGCTCACTGCAACCTCCAACTCCCTGGTTCAAGGGGTTCTCCTGCCTCCGCCTCCTGAGTAGCTGGGATTACAGGCATGTGCCACCATGCCTGGCTAATTTTTGTATTTTTAGTAGAGATGGGGTTTCACTATGTTGGCCAGGATGGTCTCGATCTCCTGACCTTGTGATCTGCCCGCCTCGGCCTCCCAAAGTGCTGGGATTACAGGCATGAGCCACCACGCCCAGCTGGGACAATTTTTTTAAACATGTCAGTACTAGTCTTTCCTTAGCTAAACATATGTTATCCTTAACACAAAGATAGGAAAGAAGTTGCACATTAAAAAAAAAAAGTATATGCTGGGTGCCAGTGCCATCATCTCAGCACTTTGGGGAGCTGAAGTGAGAGAATTGCCTGAGGCCAGGAGTTTAGGACCAGCCTGGGCAACACAGGAAGATCACATCTCTACAAAAAAAGAAAAATTAGCCAGGCGTGGTGGTGTGTCTATAGTCCCAGCTATGTGGGAGGATTGGTTAAGCCTGGGAGGTTGAGGCTGCAGTGAGCTATGATCACCCTGGGTGACAGAGTAAGGACTTGTTTCTAAAAAATAAATAAATAAAATTTAAAAACCCAGCAAAACCCCCTCAGTGTATTACAGAAGAATATTACATATAATTTATAAAATAAATTTGAAAAACATTATATGAACTTAACATTTCCAGGATTAAGAAAAAACACTGTATTAAAATAGTATTTATTTGCTGGGTGCGGTGGCTCGTGTCTGTAATCCCAGCACTTTGGGAGGCCGAGGCAGGCTGATCACTTGAGCTCAGGAGTTTGAGACCAGTCTGGCCAACATGGTGAAACCCTGGCTCTACTAAAAATACAAAAATTAGCTGGCCGTGGTGGCGTGCACCTGTAGTCCCAGCTACCCGGAGGCTGAGGCACAAGGATTGCTTGAATTCAGGAGGCGGAGGCTGCAGTGAGCCGAGATCACGCCACCGCACTCCAGCTTGGGTGACAGAGCAAGACTTCGTCTCAAACAAACAAACAAAAACCAAAAAATTGGTATTTATCATGTTGAGGGCTGTAGTTAAGACAGTTCTTTTTTTTGTTTTGTTTTTTGAGATGAAGTCTTGCTCTGTCACCCAGGCTGGAGTGCAGTGGCGCAATCTTGTCTCACTGCAGCCTCTGTCTCTTGGGTTCAAGCGGTCCTCATGCCCCAGCCTCCCGGGTAGCTGGGATTACAGGCACGTGCCACCACGGCCGGCTAATTTTTGTATTTTTAGTAGAGCTGGGGTTTCATCATGTTGGCTAGACTGGTCTTGAACTCCTGAGAGCTCAAGTGATCCGCCCACCTTGGCCTCCCAAAGTGCTGGGATTACAGGCATGAGCCTCCATGCCCAGGCAGTTCTAAGGAACATATTGTTGTTTAATACTCAGATTCTCCAAAATGAATAGTATTTTCAGAATAATAAAGACAGCACCTTTAACCAAAAGATACAGGTAATAAGGTCTTGGTTTAATCTTCAGCCTCTAAATATTTCTCTTTAGGATTAAGAATGAGGCCCTACTTCTCTGTTCTACCTGGACCTTAAGAGTATCAAGAGATCTCAAGTTCCTCCTCCTATCTCCTGCCTGGAAGTTTTGTCATCTTTCAGGATGCTTCTGACACATTAACAAAGCTAATCATTGCTGCTGCTCTATGCAGCAAAGCCTGGGGCAGGGTAGGGGAAGGGGCAGCGGAGGCGATGCTGGGTGGTGAATGACGTGCATAAGAACGAGCGAGACAGGCTCTCCAGGCTCTCGTTAGAATTTTTTTTTTTTTTTTTGAGACAGGGTTTCACTCTGTTGCCCAGACTGGGTGGAGTGCAGTGGTGCAATCTCGGCTCATTGCAACCTCTGCTTCCCAGGCTCAAGCGATTCTCCTGCCTCAGCCTCCCCAGTAGCTGGGATTACAGGCGCGTGCCACTACCACCTGGCTAATTTTTGTAGTTGGTTGTGGATATTCCCCTCTAGGTATTTTTGCAACTACATATGTTAGGGCTTCATAGGTTTTGTCATCCCGGATCAGTTTCTATTTTATGTTTTCAGGATTCCCTTATTACATAAACACATAAGACATTTAAATTTGTATCTAGGCTGGGCATGGTGGCTCATGCCTGGAATCCCAGGACTTTGGGAGGCCAAAAAGGGAAGATCTTGAGTCCAGGAGTTTGAGACCAGCTTGGGCAACATGGTGAAACTCTGTCTCTACAAAAAATACAAAAATTAACCAGGCATGGTGGCACATGCCTGTAGTCCCAGCTACTCAGAGGGTTGAGGTGGGAGGACCGCTGGAGCCTGTGAGGTAGAGGCTGCAGTGAGCTGTGATCACGTCACTGCACTCCATCTTGGGTGACAGAACGAGACTTTGTCTCAAAAAAAAAAAATTATATCTACATCTGTGTGTGACACAGCCTTGGCTCTGATTTCTCAAGAGATACTTTTCATTTCCACACAGAACCCCATGCAAGGATGAACTTCCTTACTGCTTTCTTTGGCTAATGGGTAGTTTTTCTATTTTTCATTCAACAGAAGGGCAGCCTTTGCTCATTTCCACCTTTAGGCAGGCGCTTCAGTTCTCACTTCCTGCTTCACACAGGACTGAAAGGTTCATCTTCTATCCCTACATGGGAATTAAAATCCTAGCCTCAAACCATGACAACCTGTCTCTATTCCCTAAATTCCTCTGTGTGGCTGATGCTGCGTTTGTAGAACTAGATTCCTGCCTCATTTCCTGTAAGTTGGCATTTCTGTTTCACTTCATGATTAATTCTGTATTTATAATTCTTTTATTTTATCTAGCATGCATATGTATTCATAGCAAGATAAGAGTTTGCATTAGAGCTGATACCCTGTTGCTAGAAACTGAAGTCCACTATTTATATGATAAATTTAATAGATTTTTTTAAATAAAAAAAGAGCTTCACTGTAATAGAAAGAACTTAAAAATCAAAGGATTAGTTCAATGCTCTTAGTACTGATGAGGAAAGAAGGTCTAGGGAAATGAAGGGCCTATTAGAGGTCCCACCTTACCAGGAATAGAGTTCCACTCTCGAATCTCCCTCCCCTCTTCCCTCCTACGAGCTCTCTCTCCTTCCTTCATTTGTTTCTTCTTTCCATGAACTATATTATATATTCAATGCAACATCTTGAGACCTTAGATAGTATCCACTGGCCAAATATGAGGGCAATTTTGAGAGTATAAGTCACACCGAAAGCCTGTGACAGTTCAGGGTAGCATAAGTGATATGGATTCAACTCCAGCATCACTTTCTTCATCAGAAACATCTATAGGAAGGCTACAGTCACCATTTGGTTCATGAGGGGCTTGATTTGCCCTCTACAGAGAATGTGGCAACTCATTTTTTTGTGGAACAATTATGAATACTTTATTAAGATGTACTTGTGGATTCAAATTGTTACTTTTTTCCTGTAGCTCTGATTATAACAATATGAGTGAAATGTGGTTACAACCATTTATGCCAGGGAAGTTAAATGAATGACCCTGACCGGGCGTGGTGGCTCACGCCTGTAATCCCAGCACTTTGGGAGGCCAAGGCAGGCGGATCACCTGAGGTCAGGAGTTCAAAACCAGCCTGGCCAACATGGTGAAATCCTGTCTCTACAAAAATACAAAATGTAGCCAGGCGTGATGATGGGCACCTGTAATCCCAGCTACTCGGGAGGCTAAGGTGGGAGAATTGCTTCAACCCAGGAGGTGGAGGTTGCAGTGAGCTGAGATCACACCATTGCACTCTAGCCTGGGTAATAGAGTGAGACTCTGTCTCAAAAAAAGAAGAAGAAGAAGAAAAAAGAATGACCCTATTGTTTGCGACCACATCCTACAATCACAGTAAGAAATCCCCAAAACCATACCTGTAGAAACCCAGTGACAAATATTGTTACCTTTGGACACTTGTTTGTCATTTATACCGGCTTCATTGCTCATTCTTTCTAATTCTTTCTTTGCATCATGTGTTATCAAAAGCAACTTGTGTTTCCTTTAAAGCCAACTGCCCCAGTGAAGTGCCCGTTGGTTAAGAAAAGTCAACAAACCATAAAGTGAAATAAGGAACTGACAGGACTTCAAAGAGCCTTGTTTCTTTCAACCTAACATACGCTGGCACCATTGCAGAGGTGGCAGTTCATTATTTCCATGGAAAAATAAAACTCCTTCTCTGCCTTTTTAGCAGTTTCAGGTCAACCTGAGGTGATGGAGGAGTTTATCAGAAGTACTTAAACAGGTAGATAAACTAAGGTGACTACTCTCTGTAAGCCCAGGATCAAAGTTCTAGAGAGAAATGGCTTTTAAATTATAAGCCTTCAAATGGTATCAGCGTACTGAGCCTCCCAGATGGAACCTACTAGAAGCTCTAGTATGGCGGATGTGTTTATTATTGCTGATGTGAACCCAGCCATTCACTGAGGGTTCACGCTGCCATTCACTGAGCATGTACTATGAACCAGGTACCACGCTCAGTGCTTCATATGCATTATTTCATTGAATCCTCCCAACAAGCCCAAGGGGAGGTATATTCCCATTTTATAGATTGGAAAATGGAGGCTCAGAGACATAATATATTGCTCAAGGTCACCTAGCTGGTGTGTGTGGTAGAGCTACGACTCAACCCATTGTTTGTCTGATGGCAAAGCGCACATTTTACCTTTGAACCATGAACCTGCCTCAGGGATATATAATTTAAACTCCTGCACTCTTTATCTTCAAGACTTTGTTATGAGTAACTCCTTTTCCCCATAAAAGTTTACTTACCTAAATAATTTGAGATTATCTGCAAGTTTAGGGATATCAGTAATGTCCTCCTAAGAAAAAACAAATAAAGTTTCAAAAGCAGGAACTTCATAAGTGATGCTGATACTCAACCTGCACTGTCTAATATGGCAGTCCCTTGCTATATGTGCCTATTTAAATTTGAATTAATTCAAATTAAATAAAATGAAAAACTCAGTTCTTCAGTTTACACTCGCTACATTTCTGATAGTTAACTGGGTGTGGGAGTAAGGAGGATTGGGAGGAGAATGGGGGCCCTGTTGAGGTCCCCTAGGTGGCTGGCAAAGTTCTGTTTCTTGATTTCAGTGGTGACTTGGGTGACAATTGAATACTAATTTGTTAAGCTGTACATATGTGTATTTTTCACTTTTCTGTTTGTGTCGTAGATTACAAAAATGAAAAACGAGATGAAAAAAATGAAAAAGTGGATCAAGTACTCCCTATAACTATCATTCAAGTTAAAAATCTGAATTAGAAATGACTACTTTTATATGCAAACAAAAGATTTTATAATTTTTATATAAGAGTGGGTAACTCCTGCTACACCTAGGTCACTGATTAAACTTTCAAAGTGAACCTTGTTCAAAGTTCATTCTGTAATGTAGGCTGGTGCCTGTTTTCAAACTGAAAAGCCTATTGTTAGCATCACGTAAAACTATTAAGGGAGGGAGGACATAACTTTTTATTTATTCTAAAAAGAATTACTTTCCTGTTGTATTTATTCAGCGGAGAAAGTAGACAACAGAGAACTCCAAGTTCATGGGGCCTATGTCTTCTATAAACGTGACACAGGGCCCTGCATCTCTACAGAATCTTGGCGTTTAGTTTGCACGAAGTATTTGCTCCTGAATGAGACCAGTTTCTTATTTTAGGACATTTAATGATAAGAGAACATACATTGAATGCAGAAGAATATAGTAACTAATTCTAATCCATGATTACTGCTTACATCTAATTATGGTGGACCCACCTCTCTGATTCAATGTGATTAATAATTATTCCCATGGCCGAAGTTAAACAAAAGTGTGGCACCTCATGAGTGAATTAAACAGGAGGGGCATTTCAGTTATAAAGCTGACATTCACCTTTCATGGATAAGGAGAAAGAGATGACAAAACAGTTTTCTTTGTTTTATTGGAGGGTTTTCGTTTGTCTCCTGAAGTCAAAAGCATTCAGAAACTTTTTGCAATGTTCCAGAAAAAGGCCACAACTTTGGTCAAGCTTGTCTGGTTGAAATGGATGACCAAGTAAATAGAAATAAGGTTTTTATCGGTAAAGAATTTTCTTGGCCGGTCACAGTGGCTCATGCCTGTAATCTCAACACTTTGGGATGCTGAGGTGGGAGAGTCACTTGAGCCCTGGAGTTAGAGACCAGCCTGGGGAATATGGCAAACCTTGTCTCTACAAAAAATACAAAAATTAGCCAGGCACAGTAGTGTGTGTCTGTAGTCCCAGCTACTCCGGAGGCTGAGATGGGAGGACTGCTTGAGCCCAGGAGGCTGAGGCTGCAGTGAGCCTTGATTGCACTACTGATTGTCTCAGAAAAAAGAAAAAAGGAAACAATTTTCTTTATTCTATTCTCACAGCTGCTCCATGTAATAGACAGGGTGGTATTTTCTAGACTTAAGTTTAGGGACCAAGTCCACATTCCATGCTAGTGAAGTGGAGCCCTCAGCAGTGGCTCCTTCACACCATGCCAACTTACCTCTAGGAAGAAATATAACACAAAAGTATTGTCATTAGTAGAGATGAAAATATAGTCCCTTGTGGAGCTAACCCATGAAAAGTTAGTTCACTAGGTTGAAGCTTGTTAGGTGAAGAGCATCTTTTTTTTTTTTTTTTTTTCAAAATCAGATGAAATATTCTCTTCTAATAAAGAAAAGTTCATTTATACTTGTCAATCAGAAGAAAGCCACAGTTCTGGGTGATCAGAAAAAGTTCATACCAAAAGGCTGTCCGCTTTTCCACCTTCTAGGGTTACTTCCAAATTAGAAAGCGCCGCTTCTATTTCATCAACCTCGGACTCGCCTGCAAAATCCTGTGTTTCAGCAGACAACGACAGTTTGCTAATGTGGTACTAAAATGAAAACAGACGTTTTAGAAATGTTATAAACAGAAATGTTATAAATATAAATGAATCCATTAGCCATTTTTTTCTTTGAGGACTATTCCCTTGGAATACTGAACATCTCCTAAACAGAGGTCTCCTTCCCGTGTGGGGAAAATGACATTTTAACCTGAATCGTTCTGAGGTTCATGGTTAGTCATGTTACAACTGGCTCTTTCTCATCACTGATTGTGCTCACAGTAGGGAAGAGATAATAATTGCAAGACTAGTGTCTTACAGAGGATGTGAGCGTGTGTGGATTATGAGGAGCATTTTAAATTAAAAATTTGTTCTGGTCTGAAGAAGAAAGCAAAATAAAAAATACAGAAAACAATTGCTCTCCTTATTTTCAGATATTTCTTCAAAGAACAAAAAAAAACCAGTATGAAGCATATGAAACTTCAAGCAGAACAAACTTGGTTTGTCTCCTTCCAGAGAAAAGGTACTGAAGTTCCCATACCTGTAGAGCTGCAAAGATCAACATTTCTTCCTCTGTGCAATCAATTTCTTCTAAGAGAATGGCCCACCTGGCTTGCTCATAGAGTTGGTTTATTCGGACAGCATCATACTAGAGACAAAAACAGAGGTGTGTGTGTAATGAGGTATATTTATATCCCACAATACAAAGATTCTGAAACAACTGAGGCCATTCTCTGTTAATCAGATGCAGCAAACTTCAGCTCAGGTAAGTGAAAGGAATACTTCTATTGTGCCATATACTCAGCACTTTTTTTTTAAAGTTTTTTTTTTTTTAATTTTTTATTTTTTTGAGACAGGGTCTCACTCTGTCGCCTAGGCTGGAGTACAGTAGTGCAATCTTGGCTCACTGCAACGTCCGCCTCCTGGGTTCATGCAATTCTTGTGCCCCAGCCTCCCAAGTAGCTGGGACTACAGGCATGTGCCACCACACCTGGCTAATGTTTGTGTTTTTTTGTAGAGATGGTTTCGCCATGTTGCCCAGGCTGGTCTCAAACTCCTGTGCTCAAACGACCTACCCATCTCAGCCCCACAAAGTGCTGGAATTACAGGCGTGAGCCACTGCGCCTGGCCCTCTGGCCCATTTTACTTCCAGGGCTGCTGCTGCTTCTTCACAACCCAAATTTGATTCCATTATTTTCTCTCTCTTTTATTACTACATATTGGTAGTAATAGATAGTAAAAATGGTTTATATGATAAACAGTGTAATAAGTAAACAGTGTAATAGAAGGGATCCCCATGCTGATCTGCAAGCCCAGTGCAATCCCAAGCAGAATCCGATAGGATTTTTTAAATGAAACTTTATACAAGCTGATTCTCAAGTTGAGGCTGGTGGAAGACATAATGTTCAAATATTGCCAAGAAATTGAAAAAGAACAATGTTGAGTAAAGCACTTCTCCTCCCAGATATTAAAACCTATTATAAAGTTGCAGTAATTAAAATGGTATGGTACTGGTGTAATGATTGATAAAGTATCAATAAAGCCTTATCTAGAAACAGACTTATATATGTATATAAATTTAATATAAAATATTAATTTTATATTAAAATATAAAAATGACATTTTACACCAGCAGGGGAAGGAAGAATTCAACACTATAAACAGTGTTGAAAATGCCTAGCCACTTGGAACACAAATTGAAACAAAAAATAACTTTACACTATCCAAAAATATAAATTACAGATGGATTAAATAATTTAAACATATAAAACCACAATAAGATACTACTTCACACCTACTAGAATGGCTCTTATCTAAAAGACAGGTAATAACCAGTGTTGGTGAGGCTGTGGAGAAATTGGAGCCCTTGTGCACTGCTAGGTGTAAAATGATGCAGCCTCTGTAGAAAAGTTTGGCAGTTCTTTAAAAAGTTAAACATAGAATATAATCCATCAATCCTACTCCTAGCTGTACACCCAAACAAACTGAAAGTGGCATCCAAACACATACTTGTACAACAATGTTTACAGCAGCAATATTCATAATAGCCAAAAGGTAGAAACAGCAGAATGGATAAATAAAATGTGCTGTCCACATACAATAGAACGCTATTCAGCCTTAAAAAGGAATGAAATTCTGGCTGGGCACAGTGGCTCACACCTGTAATCCCAGCACTTTGGGAGGCAGAGGTGGGCAGATCACTTGAGGTCAGGAGTTTGAGACACGCCTGGCCAACATGGTGAAACCCCGTCTCTACTAAAAATACAAAAATTAGCCAGGCATGGTGGCAGGTGCATGTAATCCCAGCTACTTGGGGGAGGGTGAGGTGGGAGAATCACTTGAACCTGGGAGGCAGAGGTTTCAGTGAGCCAAGATTGCAGCACTGCACTCTAGCCTGGGCAACAAGAGTGAGACTGTCTCGAAAAAAAAAAAAAAAGGAATTAAATTCTGATACTTGATACAATATGAATGAAGCTTGAAGATGCTATGCTAAGTGAAATAAGCCAAATACAAAAAAACAAATACTGGATGACTTCACTTATATAAACTATCTAGAATAGGCAAATTCATAAAGACAGAAAGTAGAATAGAGATTACCAGGGGCAAAAGAGAGAAGGCAATGGAGAATTATTGTTTAATAGGTACAGACTTTCTTTTTGGGATGGTAAGAAAGTTTTGAAAATGGACAGTGGCCCAACCTGGGCAATGTAGCAAGACTCTTGTCTCTATTTTTTTAAAAAAGTGGCTCTTGTCACTAGTCCCAGCGACTTGGGAGGTTGAGGCAGGAGGATTGCCTGAGGCCAGGAATTCAAGACCACCCTAGGCAACATGATGAGTCACTGTTTCTAAAAAAAAAAAAAAAAAAAAAATTATCCAGGCATGGTGGCATGCACTTGTTCCAGCTACTCAGGAGGCTGAGGTGGGAGGATTGCTTGAGCCCAGGAGTTTGAGGCTACAGGGAGCTATGATCACAGCCTGGGTGACAGAGAGAGACTATCTCAGAAAAAAAAAAAAGAGAGAGAAAATGGATAGTGGTAATAGTTGCACAACACTGTGACTATCCTTAATGCTACTGAATTGTACATCTAAAAATGGTTAAAATGATAAACATTATGTATATTTTACAATAAAAAAGTCAAAGAAAAAATCCCAAATGTATACATGAATATTCATGGCAGTATTATTCATAATAGTCAAACAGTGAAAACAATCCAAATGTTCATTGATTGATGAATGAATGTAGTATACATAAACAAGGAAATATTAGTTAGCATTAAAAAGACATAAAATATGATACATGCTACAATAGGAATGAATGAATGAATTCTGAAAATACTATGCTAAGTGAAAAAAATTATTCATAAAGTACCACATTTTGTGTAATTCCACTTATAGGAAGTTTCCAGAATAGGCAAATCCACAGAGACAGAAAACAGACTGATGATTACTCAGGGCTGGGAGGGTAGGAGGGAACTGGGGAGTGACCGCTAATGGGTATGGAGTTTCTTACTGCGGTGATGAAAATGTTCTGAAATTAGATGGTGGTTAATGGTTGCACAACTCTGAATATACTAAAAACCACTGAATTGTACATATTAAACAGGTAAATGTATGGCATGTAAATTATATCTCAAAAAGCTATTATAAAACAGCTAAACAGAAAAACCATGACTATTATTAGATGGACACATGAGGGAATACTTTCTGTAATCTTTAAATGGGGAAGTCTATTCTAAGCAAGACAAGAGGCCTAAAAGTTGTGATGCATAAGGCTGGCTTGACAACCTAAAATTAAACATTTTTAATGGTAAAAAATATCCTAAAGAAGGTTACAAATTTATAAAATATAGGATACAGATTGAAAAAATATTTGAAATATTTGAATAATTAAAAAAGTTTGTAATAAATATAAAAAATGATGTCCATCATATACACAGTACTCCTATAAATCATATGAAACATATAAATAATTTAATAGAGTTTGTGGCAAATATATAAACAGGTAGTTCACAGAAGAAAGCAAAATGGCCATAAAAACATTGGAAAAGATGCTCAATCTCACTAATTACTAGAGAATTCAAACGAAAACAAGATGACCTAATTTCCATTTTCCTATCACATCTACCTACATTACAAATACTGATAATGTTTGATGTTGGTGAGGATGTGGGGATATCAGCCCTTTCACAGATGCCGTTAGTAGAAAGGTAATTTGGTGACATAAAGCTTTAAGCTTTTAGTATCGTTTTGCCCTTTGATAAGCACATCCAGTGTTACTGTTCCAAAGAAATGCAAGCACTTGCGAGATACTTTTACAAGAATGTTCAGCACACTTAGGTCCTGATAAACTACAGTTTATTTAGCCTTTCCTTTGATTTTTTTTCAGTGGTTAAAAAAAGTGAGTCTGACTTACTTATACTGACATGAAAGATAGCCATGATATGTTTTGAAGTAAAAAGAAGCAAGCTACAGAGAAAACAAATGATCCTACTTATCTAGGGAACACAAAGTCTTGAAAATCTATTCAAAAATATGTTTGTAAACATGTCTAAACAAGTCTGCAAGGATGGTTGGTCATGAAGCTAACTGTGGCTGCCTCTTAGGAGAATGGTCATGATACAGAACTGTTTTCCATTTTTACTCTAAATAATTTCTTTCTTATTATGTTTGTTTGTTTATTTATTTTTGAGATGGACTCTTGCTCTGTTGCCCAGGCTGGAGTGCAATGGCGCGATCTCAGCTCACTGCAACCTCTGCCTCCCAGGTTCAAGTGATTCTCCTGCCTCAGCTTCCCGAGTAGCTGGGATTACACGAGCCCGCCTCCATGCTCCGCTAATTTTTTTTGTATTTTTAGTAGAGACAGGATTTCACCATGCTGCCAAGGCTGGTCTCAAACTCCTGACCTCAGACAATCCACCTGCCTCAGCCTCCCAAAGTGCTGGGATTACAGGCGTGAGCCACTGTGCCCGCCCTATGTTTGAGTTTTAAAAAATTAATTTAATTGTGGTAAAATATATGTAACATAATATTTACCATCTTAACCATCCGCCTACTGTTTTTTAGAGGCACGGTCTCACCCTGTCATGCAGGGTGTAGTGCAGTGGTGCAATCATAGCTCACTGCAGCCTCGAACTCCTGGGCTCCAGCAATACTCCTGCCTCAGCCTCCCTAGTAGCTGGGAGTTCCCTCTCTGGAGGCCTGTTCCCATTTCTCCAGAGACAATGCTGCATCACAATGTTCCAGATCTTTCACAGGTCATTGACAGGCATCCTATAGGACTTCCCCCCAATACCCCCACCCCGAGAACTCTTTCAGTGGGTTCTCCAGTGACTTAGAAACAAATTTTTTCCTTGGTGGGGTTGGCTACTCATACCCTCTCCTTGGCCCTTTTCTTTGCTTAATTGAAAATAGAGATGGGCACGGTGGCTCAAGCCTGTAATCCCAGCACTTTGGGAGGCTGAGGCAGGAGGATCTCTTGAGGTCAGGAGTTTGGGACCAGCCTGGCCAACATGGTGAAACCCCATCTCTACTAAAAATACAAAAATTAGCTGGGCGTGGTGGTGCATGCCTGTAGTCCCAGCTACTCGGGAGGCTGAGGCAGGAGAATCGCTTGAACCTGGGAGGCAGAGGTTGCATTGAGCCAAGATCGTGCCACTGTACCCCAGCCTAGGTGACAGAGTGAAACTGTGTCTCAAGAAAAAAAAAAAAAAAAAAAAAAGAAAAGAAAATAGAAACCTCAAGCTGGAAACCACATGAGTTCTGCCACCTCTCCACTCCTTCACTCCTTGAATCCCTGTTTCTCCCTGTCTAGTCAGTTCAGTAAACCCTCCACCCTCGTCCATCATTCCAACAACCAACAATAAAAATAAATAACAAAACCTACTTAGCATAGTTTTCTTGCTCTTTCTTAAGAAGGGGTTACTATTTAGATCTAATTATTTAAGATTCTCTATTGGCCCAGGAGCAGCTTTCAGTATCTTCCAAGCCTCTTTTTAGAACAGATGTGCTTTTCCTGTACTGAACACTAAAATACTATGAACTATCAGAGTTCTAAAATGTGTGTTTTTTTAATTCACAAATTTTGAACACATTTAAAAAGGGGCAAAAGGTATGTGATAAATGAATTCATTATGAATGAATTTGAAAGGGACAAAAGAGTGTTCAATAAAAAGTTAGTCCCCCTCTCTACCTTGTTCCCTGGAAATGGTAGTTTCTCTATGGGCTGTTTTGCATCTTTTAATAATGCACCTGGAGTCTGTTTCATATCAAAAAAGAGCTGATTCATTCTTTTTAAAAACAATATGGTATGAATGTATCATAATGTATTTAACCAATTCTGTAGCTATGGACATTTAGGTGGTTTCCAGTCTTTTCCTAAAACAATATAATAACCGCCCCTGTATACCTACATGTCAGTTTGCATGTGTGAGTATAACTGTGCTATAAACACCTAGGAGTGGATTTGCTGAATCAAAGCTATGTAGAACTGTAATTCTGATACTGCCAAATTGCCCTCTATAGACTAATTTATACTTTGACCTGCAAGCAGTCTATGACAGAGCCCATTTCCTGACACTCTTGCCAAGATAGTATGTAACTTTTTGATCTTTGCCACTGTAAAGCATTGTAGTTCATTTTCTATGAACTATATATTTACATCCTTTGCTCATTAGTCTTCTGGGTTGTTGGTCTTCTTATTACTGATTTTTAGGAGCTCTTTACATATTAGAGAAATTCATCTTTTGTTTGTAGTATGTGTTGTAAAGACTTTTACTTTGTTATAGTTTTTTTTTTTTTTTTTTGGCCAGATGTACAATTTTCATTTTTTATTAAAATGTACCAATCTTTTCTGGATTCTTCATTTTTTGAGTCTATTATTATTATTATTATTTTATTTATTTTTTGAGACAGAGTTTTGCTCTCATTGCCCAGGCTGTAGTGCAACAGCATGATCTCGGCTCACTGCAACCTCTGCTTCCCGGGTTCAAGTGATTCTCCTGCCTCGTTCTCCCAAGTAGCTGGGATTGCAGGCACATGCCATCATGCCTGGCTAATTTTTGTATTTTTAGTAGAGATGGGGTTTCACCATGTTGGCCAGGCTAGTCTCGAACTTCTAACCTCAGGCGATCCACCCGCCTCAGCCTCCCAAAGTACTGTGATTACAGGCATGAGCCCCTGCGCCCGGCTGAGTCTATTATTTTTGAAATGTTGAATTCTAGCATTTTACGTATCTGAGATTTTAATCAGCACCTGTTACTAAGGACCTGTGGCCAGTATGAATCTCTCTGAAAGCCAGAGAAGCTCTCTAGTCCTCACTGTAGATTTTAGTTTCTACTTGTAGGGTGCCTTGTAAATTTGCAGTGGCTTCATGGGTGTTCTTTCTTCTTCTTAGATTTGATTGTAGCTGCCACGAGAACACAAATTACATCTAAAATTTCTATATCCCTCTATTTATGCAGCACAGAGTAGGAGTCTTAAACTTGATTTTATCTATAGCACTCATAATTTTGAGAGAGGGGGAAGGGAATACTGCCATAAGTACTAAAGTGGTTGAGGATCACAGTGTCCTCCAATGCCATGTCCCATTATCCTGAGTCTTCCTGTCACCTTTGGGTTGACAGTTTCTGTGTGGCTGTTAGATTCAAATCGGTTTCACTTTTTAGGCTATGAAGAGGGAGCTCCTCACCAATTAAGCGGGCAGAGGCTGGAGGCCAAAGAGCCAGAGACAACAGCCCTTGTGACCCTCAGCTTCAGTGTCCTTGTCCCCTTCTGGAGTACGATTCGTTTGATTTCTTCCACTTTTTAGACAAATACATATTTAACCCTGCTCCTCTATATTTATACCAATGATCTGCCATTATCTGGCTTATTTGACTGTGAAGTCACTTACATGTTCCTAATGGTTTTTCAGGGGGCAGATGACTCAGCTGCATTCTTTTTAGCTCAAGCTTAGTTCTGAAGCAGCGGATTGAATCGGGGGAGTCTCTTGGCAAAGAAACTGCTGGAAGGGTCCCCAAGGACCCTATGAGTCCTTGGGCTGAGTGATCCTATCATCCATCAGGTGCCTGAACTGGGAAAGCCTGACTCACAGCGTGTGGGGTGAGGGGCAAAGAAAGTACCAGATGCAGTCTCTGTCTCCAAGGACTTGATTGTCTATTTGTAGAAAAAAATCCACAGATGTGGTGTGATTAGAGGAGTGAGTCCTGAAATTGTACAGTACTCAGCTGTGGCTCAGAGAAGGCAAAGGCCCATGTGACCGAGAGTAGAGAAAAGCTCCTTTCTGGAAAGAGTGGAACCTGAATGTGGTCTCAGAGCAGGGTTCTGATTCTGGGGTTCTCAGACTTGGAAGTTTGATTATCAGGTGGTCCACAAGCTTGTATGAGGAAACACAACCTCTCCAATTGCATCGACTTCGAATGGAAATTTAGCATTTCCTCTCAGGATGCTAAACCACAGCATTGCAGAGTACTTGTCACTCTGTGACCACCAGAATCAAGATTTTGTTCCTTCTGTATGCCAGTTGTTGCTGCTGTCTTCAAGCAAGGCTCACCCACATCACTACTTTGAAATTATGGTGGTTATGAGAACTACAAATCTTCTTTATTCAATTAACTAAAAATATATTACTATATACATTTTCAAAAAGGGTTTGGCTACTACAGTTTAATATAAGTGTTTCATTTTGTAGTCCTATGTATTTTATCTCATTAATTTGAAAACATTATTTTAATATACAACAGTTTTGAGTTCTCAGTACCCAGCTTAGTTCTTGGCCTACAGTAGTTGCTCAATAAATAAACACACAAACAAACAACAGATGGGGCACAGATTTGAATAGATAAGATGGGACCAAATTACTGACTTAGTAACTGGAAAATGCATGGGCATATTTTATGTATGTGTTATCTATTTTCAGAAAAAATGTAAGGCAGTTTATTAGAATAGATGGCATACAACAAGATAGCTTAAATTAAGAGTTAAGCAAGGAAATGCTAAAGTTGAGTCATGAATGAGGCTTAAATATAAAATCACAAAAAAGTATGGATTTGGTTTTAGCAGGCAATGAAAAAACAAAAACAAAAACAAAAAACCTGGACAGTTGCAAATTCACAGTAGAGTTAAAAAAAAGCCAAGCCAATTGCGTAGGAGAAGCAGTACAGTAATTTCTCCTGGAGATTTTATCGAAGAAAAGCCAAAATTTGCCCTTTTGCCATGATTCACTTATGCATTCCAGACACAAGCTTGGTCCACAGGATAAAAATCAAGGACTGAGCAGGAACCTCTCCTTAGAAATGACAAGGGACAAGGTTTGTTTTGAAGATGGCAGTTGGGGAAACAGTGGAAGCTGAGGTGAGCCTTTGCAGACCAGACCTAAAGTCAGGACCAAGAAGAAGACAGTGCCTCTTACAAGAGGTGGAAATGCTGGTGTAGATGAGAAAGGGTCTGTACAGAAAGGCTGACCAAGGCAAGCTCCTCCAAGTGTCTGGCAGTAAATGGAAAAGAGCAACAGGCACAAAACAGTGATGGGAGCATGCAACACAGTGACCCTGCGCACTCAGAGGACCAGTCATCCAGTTTATATCGTCGACACTGGGCCATTGTACCGCTGACTCTCAGCTCTTCAAAAGGGCTCATCAGAAGGAAGGAAGAGGCAGAAGTTCAAAGGACTTATCTCACCCCTCATTTGTTATTCTAATAGACTTCAGGGGGAGATGTGCAGTGAAAATAGAATTGGTGACCAGCTGGGTGACCAGGTGAGAAAAAGGCATTACATAGATGATCCCTTTCCCTCAGTTCCAAAGAGTAAGCAAGCACTGGAGTGTGGAGTCCTATGTGCACCATCATGTGATCCTAGCTTGTTCATGGGAACCTGCCTTTAAACCTGACCTCTGACAACTCCTTTCCTTCCTCAGCATTAAGAACTTCAGTTCTGGCCAGATGCGATGGCTCATGCCTGTAATCCCAGCACTTTGGGAGGCCGAGGTGGGAGGATCATGAGGTCAGTAGTTCGAGACCAACCTGGCCAATATAGTGAAACCCCGTCTTTACTAAAAACATAAAAATTAGCTGGGCATGGTTGCATGAGCCTGTAGTTCCAGCTACTCAGGAGGCTGAGGCAAAAGAATCGCTTGAACCCGGGAGGTGGAGGTTGCAGTCAGCCAAGATCGTGCCACTGCACTCCAGCCTGGGTGACAGAGCAAGACTCTGTCTCAACCAAAAAAAAAAAAAAAAAAAAAAGAACTCCAGCTCTCTGAGCCACTCCCATCTTGTTTGACCATTCCTGCAAATGGAGGGGGGCAGTGCATGCCACGCTAGGCGCAAAGATCCTCAGAGACTCCGGCTAATTTGGTAGCAGCTTACTGTGCTCAGTAGCGACCAAAGGATAAAAATTCAGAGACCAGGGTCCATGTATCAGTCTCACCCTGCAGGGCTAAACAGGCGATCACACAAATAAATTCATCCTAATTTTCATAAGCAAATGCCTCCATTTTATCCTTTCATGCATTCATATTAAAAAGAGAAAGACAAAAGAGAAAAAGTTGCTTACTTTAGGATTCAAGTCGAAGAAAGAATAATATTTAAATCGTAAGAGCAGCTGCTCATCCTCTTGGATGCCTTGTTCCATAAGGGAGCGTGAGGAGTCTAGCCAACTAGAAAATGACAGCATGAGTTTTAGAAGCCAGTCAATTTTACATATATATCCATTATATTATTATGTCATATATTATATACTACATATATATATCCTTGAACAAAATCAGGGTATGTAATACAGATTGAGTATCACTAATTTGAAAATCTGAAATTCTCCAAAATCTGACACTTTCTGAGCACTGACCTGAGGCTCAAAGGAAATGCTCACTGAAGCATTTTGTTCTGCTTTGTTTTGTTTTGTTTTTGAGCCAGAGTCTTGCTCTATCACCTAGGCTTTAGTGCAGTGGTGCAGTCTCGGCTCACTGCAGCCTCTGCCTCCCAGGTTCAAGCGATTCTCTTGCCTCAGCCTCACGAGTAGCTGGGGCTACAGGTGCATGCCACCATGCCCGGCTAAATTTTTTATTTTCAGTAGAGAGGGGGTTTTGCCATGTTGGCCAGGCTAGTCTTGAACCCCTGACCTCAGGTGATCTGCCTGCCTTGGCCTCCCAATGTGCTGGGATTACAGGCGTGGGCCACTGTGCACGGCCTCGCTGAAGCATTTTGAATTTCAGAATTTTGGATTAGGGATGCTCAACTGGTGAGTATAATGCAAATATCCCCAAACCTGAAAAAGTGTAAAAAACAAATTCTGAAATTCAAAACACTTCTGGTCTCAAGCATTTTGGATAAGGGATACTGAACCTGTATAACAAAAAATCAGTAAGCACATAATAATAGCTTATATTTGCATTTTATCTTACAGTCTTCAAAGTGCTTTATAGATTTTTTTCTCATGGATACTCTAAAGTAATCCAATGAAGGGGCCAGGGCAGTTCTTATTATCTCAGCTTTGTAGACAAAGAGACTTAGTCTGAGTGACATTAGATCATCCTTAAAGATCACAGGCCTCAGCAGGGTGCGGGGACTCATACCTGTAATTCCAGCACCTTGGGAGGCCAAGGCGGGTGAATCACCTGAGGTCAGGAGTTTGAGACCAGCCTGGGCAACATGGTGAAACCCTGTCTCTACTAAAAACGCAAAAATTAGCCAGGTGTTGTGGCACATGGCTGTAATCTCAGCTACTTGGGAGGCTGAGGCAGGCAGGAAAATTGTTTGAACCCGGGAGGTGGAGGTTGCAGTGAGCCGAGATCATGCCATTGCACTCCAGCCTAGGCAACAGAGACTCTGTCTCAAAAAAAAAAAAAAAAAGTCACAGGCTTGGTTATGGGGCCAGCTTGAGAATCCATACGTCCTGACTACCTGCACCACTTCTCCTTTTACCAGATGGTTTGCCCCAATGCCAGCTCTGTATTACTGTCTAGAACTTTCTGCAATGAGAGAAATATTCATATCTGTGCTGTCTGATGCATTAGCCCCAGCTGAATGTGGCTGTTAGTGCCACATTTTAATTTTAATTAATTTAAAATCCTGTCCACATTTAGATATCCACATGTGGCTAGGGGTTCCTGTACAATGCATAGTAGAGTTCTAGAGTTGAGAAATAAAAACTGGGGAAAGAGGATGACCAACACAAAATCACCATCCTAAAAGAGTTGACAGTCTGCTGGGGGAGACCAAGCCTCAAATAAAGGGACAATGTGATGTTGGAGTGAGCAAAGTGTCAGGACAGAGCTACAAGGAGGGGGCCGATCTTGAAGGTAATACTTGAGCAGGAGACAGCATGTGGTTGGGCCTTAAATGACAGGTAGGGACTGAACAGTTGGTAAAGGGGAATGGTCCTGGAGGTGAGGCAGTGACAGAAAGAATGAGTGTGCACCCAGGCGGCACGGGGCCATGGGAGCATGGGAGGACACGGAGACACCTGTTGGGGCCAGATCTTCTAGGAAGGTGAATGCTGTTGACGAGTTTGACTTTATCTGGTAGGCAATGGGGAACAACAGAAATGGTAGTTTCAGAAATAGTTTGGGTGTATTTTCTGAGACCATTTCAAACAGAGCTCAAGGAAGTTGCTCATTAGAATGCCTAAAGAGAAGAGCGACAGCTGGGCGCGGTGGCTCATGCCTGTAATCCCAGCACTTTGGGAGGCCAAGGTGGGCAGATTACCTGAGGTCAGGAGTTCGAGACCAGCCTGACCAACATGGAGAAACCCAATCTCTACTAAAAAAATACAAATTTAGCTGGGCATGGTGGCGCATGCCTGTAATCCCAGCTACTCAGAAAGCTGAGGCAGGAGAATTGCTTGAACCCAGGGGGGCAGAGATTGTGGTGAGCTGAGATTGCGCCATTGCACTCCAGCCTGGGCAACAAGAGCAAAACTCCATCTCAAAAAAAAAAAAAAAAGAGAAGAGTGACATTCTACAAAAGACAATGTAAGCCTGGTGGGTCACCTTGGATTTATCCCACTGGCCCATGGGGACCAACACACTTATTAACTACCCTACATCCCACAAAATATACTTTGCATATCTGTAGTGGTAAAGAATTAGTATTCACAGATAGTAAATCTACTGAGTTACCCAAACATGTAAATTTAGGCACACTTTAAATATACTGAAATGACCAAAGGCTGAATTTTTCCCCTTTGTTGCTAAAATCAGCACTAACTTTTGCAAATAAAGCACAATCCCTAGGCCTACCAACTTGAAAATGAAACGTGACATCCCATCTCTTACTGTGTCGGCACTAGCTCAGAGAGAAGTAAAAGGAGCCGTGTCCTTACCCTGCATTGAGCTTGGCTTTATCAACCAGAGACCGAGGCTGGTACATATCCGCAAGTGCTTCTGGGGACTGGGGGGGTTGGCTGAATGCGAGGATGCTGCAGTTTTGTTCCGTCAAAGGGCTGTCACTGAACCAAGTCATGGTGGATGATGCTGGTGTTCCATTGATGGGGTCATATATAGGGGTCATGGTTTTACTGTATAAACCAGGACTTACTGCAAGGCAGGGGGATCAAGAACTATGATATGAGAATCCAGGGATATAAATCTTCAAGAAAATATTAACATTACTTACACTAAAATGAGTTTTGACTTTAAATTTGGCACCATTTAAAATAATATAAGTCAAGCTGGGCACTGTGGCCCGCGTCTATAATCCTAGCTACTTGGGAGGCTGAGGTTGGAGAATTGTTTGAGCCTAGGAGTTTGAGACCAGCCAGGGCAACATAGCAAGACTTCATCTCAAAAAACAAACAAACAAACAAACAAAACCCAAAAAATAATATGGATCATGATGGTACAGAGATTAGTAATACACAGGTAATGGTCTTATCTGTAAATTCAGCTCCTCAAAAGCCTTGGAACTCAAATATGTAAAAGCCTTCAAAAATCAACAGGGACAAACATTGGGGACCACCTCTTTTCTTTCTTTTGTTTTTTAGACGGAGTCTCACTCTGTCGCCCAGGCTGGAGTGCTGTGGTGTGATCCTGGCTCACTGCAACCTCAACCTCCCAGGTTCAAGTGACTCTCCTGTCTGAGCCTCCTGAATAGCTGGAATTACAGGCATGAGCCACCACACCCGGCTAATGGAGACCACCTCTTTTCTAATAATTCACAGTTTTCCTATTTCAGTAGGAGTCTTGGCACTATTAGAGAACTGGAGACCTCATAGAATGCATGTACCCAATATGTTTCAGGTAGCCCCTTAAACAAATAGCAGGACTTGCCAATTTTAAGAATTCAGTAGGCTGATGATTTATAAATCAGCTGGCTCTAATTTGTACAATTTGTTCTTTTCATTGGAATACACTATGCAAGAAAGCCCTCAATCTTGGCCGGGTGTGGTGGCTCATTCCTGTAATCCCAGCATTTTGGGTGGCTGAGGCAGGCGGATCACTTGAGGCCAGGAGTTTGAGACCAGCCTGGCCAACATGGCAAAACCCTGTCTCTACTAAAAATACAAAAATTAGCCAAGTGTGATGGTGCACACCTGTAATTCCAGCTACTCAGGAGGCTGAGGCATGAGAATCACTTGAGCCCGGGAGGCAGAGGCTGCAATGAGCCGAGATTGTGCCACTGCACTCCAGCTTGGGTGACAGAGCAAGACTCTGTCTAAAAAAACAAAACAAAACAAACAAACAAAAAATGAAGAAAGAAAGCCTCAATCTTGCAAGCAAGCTAGAGATTTGATTGTTTTGATATAAAAAGAAAAGGATGCTTCTCCTCCAGAATTTTCACCTGCCCTCCTCTTGCATGCCCCATAAAAAACTGAATTCAGGAAAGAATCACACAATGATAGAATCATGAAGAGAGAAGTGTATTTGAGTGATTTAACTTATCTTTTTTCTTTTCTTTTTTTTTTTTTGAGACAGGGTCTTGCTCTGTCACCCAGCCTGAGTGCAGTGGCACAATCTTGGCACACCGCAACTTCCACCCTCAGGGCTCAAGCAATCCTCCCATCTCAGCCTTCTGAGTAGCTGGGACCACAAGCATGCAGCAGCATGCCCAGGTTATTTATTTATTTATTTTTTGTATTTTTAATGGAGATGGAGTCTCACCATATTGCCCAGGCTGGTCTCAAACTTCTGAGCTCAAGTGATCCACCCACCTCAGCCTCCCAAAGTGCTGGGATTACAAGCATGAGGCACCGTGACCAGCCAGTTACCTGTTTTCTAAATATCACTCTTTTATCCCAAATTTGTGGTCAGTGGTACTAAAATTTTGCATTCATTGGCAACATCAGATATACAATTCAAGTAATGAGTTATTAAACATGCTTGATGAAAAAAAGTCTGAAACACATTTCTGTTAATTCTAAACTTGACTAGATAGCCTTTCCTCATCACATCAGTTCTGCAATTTTATTTCTCCTTTGTTTGGTGGGGGTGGGAGGAGAGATATATTTCTCTCTTGAGTTTTACTGTACGTTCAAACAACAAAACACCTGTAACAAGTCTTACCTGATGAACCTGAAGCTGTTGGAGAACTCTCCAGGTTTAGAATATCTTCAATTATGGGTTCCTTATTATTTTTGTCTTTTTTCTTCTTCTTCTTAAAATAGTCACCAGACGGCTTTAACAAGGAAAGCTCTTCTGATCTTCTAATATCTAGAAATAAATATTTTTTAAAAATGAAGAAAAAGTAAAAAGAAAACTCCTTCTAAGACTCAGGGTCATTTTGTGCATTTAAAATCATTTCTCAGGAAATTTCTGAAAAGTAAATGGGACTAAACTGCATCCCTTTTGAAGAAACAGAAGGGGAAAGGGGAACAGAGACCTCCAAAGTAGGTGGGGGGAGAAAACGGTGGAGGGAGATTCAGTCTAGTGAAATTTCTGGTTAGAAAAATTATTATAAAAATATTTCAAATGTATCTAAAGCAAAGGGAATGGTATAATGTCCCCTTCATGGGCTCCCCAGCTTCAGTCATTACTAGCATTATGCTATTCTTGTTACCTATTTACCACCAACTTTACCTCCCTCTCCCCTTTCTTCCTGATATGGTTTGGATGTGTCTCCACCCAAATCTCATCTTGAATTCCCATGTGTTGTCAGAGGGGCCCAGTGGGAGGTAATTGAATCATGGGGGCAGGTCTTTCCTGTGCTGTTCTCATGATAGTGAATAAGTCTCATGAGATCTGATGGTTTTATAGGGTGTTTCCCCGCACAAGCTCTCTCTTTGCCTGCTGCCATCCATGTAAGACGTGACTTGCTCCTCCTTGCCTTCCTCCATGATTGTGAGGCCTCCCCAGCCATGTGGAACTGTAAGTCCATTAAACTTCTTTCTTTTGTAAATTGCCCAGTCTCAGATATGTCTTTATCAGCAGCATGAAAATGAACTAATAGACTTCCCTTCCTTGCTCCCTCTCCCTTTCCTTTTTCCAGTTTTTTAAACAACCAACAAAGGTCCTGCTTCCTTTTTTCTTTATAGATCACAGATCTTGAACGTCTTTCTTTTACACATTGCCCATCAGCTCATTTTATCCCTGTGGTGACACCCTCATGCCCTGCCCATTTCTTCTTGGTCCTCACCATTTCAGCACACCTGGCTTCTGGCGGAATCTAGACCATGCATCTTTCTGCCAGAGGCTTTGCTCTGATGGCTCACCAGGGTCTGCACTGCAACAGCCCACATATTCCGGGAATTAATGCTCCCCAAGAGCAACCTTCAGTGACTATCCAGGGTGCTGCATAAACATCCTTACCCTGAGGCTGTGTCTACACTGTCTCCCAGGGGTCACCAGCTGCTGAAGTGTAACCTGATTGGTGACACTCTTCTCTTTTCAGTCTTACTTCCCTGTCCCCAACAGTATTTCCTGGCATCACCTCCCAAATAAACTATTTGTACTTGAATCCTTATCTCAGGGTCTTCTTCTGGGAACTGAAACTATGGTAATCCCCATTTCTCCCATTAATCAAATATATTTATAATTGCTGATCAGAATTGCTGATAACCTTTAACTACACTAGTGGCTATCATTCCAGGTAAAAACCAATTAATTTGGACTTTTAGTTTCTGAGCAGCTTTGTTGAAGGTAAGTGCACTGATTCCATTAAGTTCTCTCATCATTTCGTTCATATACTGCTCAGTGTTGAGACTGAGCCTAGCAGTTTAGCTTGACTCTCCCCAGCAGCCAAGGATTGTCAGGTTGCAACACACGTGTGACCATTCCAAATGCATAATTTATACACAAACTCGGTCATGAATAAAAAATTTCACTGTGAGCACTAAAAGCAAAACAATGAAACAGAAACACCTGTATCTTCAAGGTTAAGATTTGTGTCTTTTCTGTTCTTCAAGGGAAAAACCACTAAACTGCTGCATTTGATTTCACTTCAATTGATAAGATATAAAATGCAATGATTAGAAATGCCACGCTGAGCCTTTAAAACTATTACAAAGAGATAATCAGGAAAAGAGAACATCTGACTGCTTCTGTTTACTTGAAAACTTTACATTTTTGGTATCAGCTGTGATGTGTGCTTCCAGTCCACTGTGGTGTATGCAATATACTATTTTATGTAATCATTTACTTTGCTTTCAAATCCTCATTAGAATATTACCAAAAACACAAGGTGTCCTCATGCTTGCCATTTGCACACCAGGGACAAGACTGCAACTTACATTCTGTAATGAAAGTTTCCATTCATTTGTTCACTCAACAGTTATTGTATGCTAGGCATTGTGACTGGAGTGAGGAATGCAGAGATGCTCAGGAAACGGTTTCTGCTCTCACCCTACTTCATATACCATACCAGCCCCCACTGCCCAACCCTGGCATTCCCAATCCTGCTCATACTTTTTCTCTTTTTTGGGGTACTATCCATCCCATTTTAACCTCTTATATTCTTTTTTAACTTGTTCCATTTATATTTTAAAATTTGTTACATTTACATTTATTGGTTAGTGTCTGTCTCTGCCTGCTAAAATGTAAGCTCCAGGTGGCAGGGATTTTAGCTCTGTATTGCTACTATATCCCTAGCACTCACCACAATGCCTGGGACACAGTAGGTGCTCAATAAATATTTGCTGAATGAGTGAATAGTTTATGGTTTAATGGGAAAAATAGATTACTCACTATATATCACTATATATTATCTATTCTGGGTTCAAATGTTGATTTTTGGTTTTGGAACCAATGAATACACCTATAATACTTTCAAAAATTATAAAATGAGAATACCTTCATGGGGTGTTTCCTTCCCTTTATGGAGTTTTATAAAGAAAAATTGGTTTGGGTAGTGTTGTCTTTACGACTGTTAAATTATAGGATACCAAATCTATAAATAATTAGGTTTAAATTCACAATTAAGTGTACTTTTCTGCTTAATCACTTCATAAGTGATTTTTATGGGCAGAGTTATTTACTTGAGCCAGGTCTTAAGCAATTAAGACTTTGGAACACCATTATCTCAAAAACAATAAAGACACATAGCTCTATGGTGATTAAGTATTTAATACAACTCTTTAAATCTTAAATACTGTACAATAATGTTTGAGTATAGCTTGGATCAATAAATTTTGGGGGGCAATCTTAGTGGTTTATCTTGTCTATTAACAAATCTCTTTTGGAATAGTTTTAAGCTTTGTGGAGATGTACCTGATTTATGCCAATAATGTTCCACTTGGCTTAACTCCACTTAAATGGCTGCAATACCCAGAAGGGCTTAAACATGTGCTTCCTAATAGGTGAGTGTTCTGTAGCAATTACTTGAAGTAGGCAGAATGCACACATAATTTTCCTGTCTAGCTTTGCAAGAGTCTACAGGGCACAGGGGCCTTTCCTGGGTACTTACTCAGGATTTTGCAGATATCACTGACAGCTTTAAAAACCACAGCTGAGAAGCTGACTCGCAACCTCACCATCTTCAAATTCGGCAGACGAAGGCGCAGCATTTTATGCTGAGGGGTGAAGAGAAGCTTTGCATCTGCCTGGACCCCATATTTGTCCAGGGTCCAGTGGGTTTTCAGAAGCCAGCAATGCTTCTGTTCCCACCAAAGAGCAAAGTCTGACCAGTCTTGGGATATATCTGCAAAAATGAAAGCACAATTAAGTAAAATGAGAGAGGGCCCAGCTTGGAGGGTCCTGGAGCTGCAGAGTCAATTTCATTGTGTGCGAAAATGGAAACCAACAACTGATCTCCAGCTCCTCATGGCCTTTTACAATTCAAGGCTTAACAACTTTTGGCTTCTTTCCAAAGTCTCCAGGGAAAAAATAGGGACTGGGATGGCATTAGGCAAAATACCTAATGTAGATGACAGGGTTGATGGGACAGCAAACCATCATGGTACATGTATACGTATATAACACACCTGCATGTTCTGCACATGTATCCCAGAACTTAAAGTAAAATAAAAAACATTTAAAAAATTAAATCAAATAAAAAAATTTAAAGATAAAATAATTAAAAAAGAAAAAGAAAAAATAATAGGGTCGGGTGCTGTAGCTCACACCTGTAATCTCAGCACTTTGGGAGGCTGATGCAAGCGATCACCTGAGGTCAGGAGTTCGAGACCAGCCCGGCCTACATGGCAAAACCCTGTCTCTACTAAAAATACAAAAATTAGCCAGGTGTGGTGGTGCGCACCTGTTAATCCCAGCTACTCCAGAGGCTGAGGCAGGAGAATCACTTGAACCCGGGAAGTGGAGATTGTAATGAGCCGAGGTCACACCATTATATTACAGCTTGGGCAACAAGAGCAAATCTCTGTCTCAAAAAAAAAAAAATGGAAAATAGGGACTAAATCTTACCATCATTTACATTTAGATACCGTGGAGGAAAAGAAACATAAAAATGTGTTCACAATGAATGCTAAAGTTCTGTTCGCTAAAATCTCTGTGCCATGGCCCTTTCTGAGAAAGCATCTGACTTTGTTTAATCAAGATTATTTCTCTTATAGAAATGTATCCTTATACCACTGTGTCACAAGGGAGTAGCAATAGCCTCCAATCAAAGTCCACACAGAAGTACTGTACAACTGACATTTCATTCTTCTCAGTAATCTCCAACTCTTTATCAGTACCACCATATCCAAAGTGTCCAAATTGAAGTCAGAGTTAAAATATTTTCTCCCTTTCAATGTTAGCACCAATGTCAATCTTTCCCCTCCTTTAACGTTGGCATTAAAATAGAATCTTTACCCTTCATCAATATTGGAGTCAATTTTCAATCTTTTATTTTGCAAAATGAAGAGTTACCAGTATCTTTGTTTTCTTATTTTTCTTTAAATGATTTTTTCTTTCTCTTTTAAATTAGAAACTCTTTTTTTTTGAGACAGAGTCTCACTCTGTTGCCCAGGCTGGAGTGCAGTGGCATGATCTCGGCTCACTGCAACTTCTGCCTCCTGGGTTCAAGCGATTCTCCTGCCTCAGCCTCCCAAGTAGCTGGGATTACAGGTGCGCACCACCATGTCAGTCTAATTTTTTTTTTTTTTTTGAGATGGAGTCTCACTCTGTTGCCCAGGCTGGAGTGCAGTGGTGTAATCTCAGCTCACTGCAACCTCTGCCTCCCGTGTTCAAGTGATTCTCCTGCCTCAGCCTCCTGAGTAGCTGGGATTGTAGGCACGCACCACCATGCCCAGCTAATTTTTGTATTTTTTGTAGAGACGTGGTTTCACCATGTTGGTCAGGCTGGTCTCGAACTCCTGACCTCGTGATCCACCCACCTCAGCCTTCCAAAGTGCTGGGATTACAGGAAATTTTTGTATTTTTAGTAGAGATGGGGTTTTACCATGTTGGCCAGGCTGGTCTTGAACTCCTGACCTCAGGTGATCCACCCACCTCAGCCTTCCAAAGTGCTGGGATTACAGGAAATTTTTGTATTTTTAGTAGAGATGGGGTTTCACCATGTTGGCCAGGCTGGTCTTGAACTCCTGACCTCAGGTGATCCACCCACCTCAGCCTCCCAAAGTGCTGGGATTACAGGCGTGAGCCACTGCTCTCAGCCAGAAAATGCTCCTCTTAATGCTGTTAGTAGAAGCATAAATTGGCACAACTATTTTGGAAAACCTTATGAATCAGCATTTTTTTTCTCTGAACTATACCACCCAACAGAAATGATCTCTGAAAGACAGGTGTTACAGCAGCTTTTTCTGTAAGTGCATGAAAATGTAAACAACCCAAATGTCCATTAAGAGGTAAATGGATAAATAATTGTGGCATATTCATACAATGGAATATTATATGGTAATGAAAACGAACCAAAACAATATGCAACAGTATGGATAAATCTCACAGATATAATGTTGAGTGAAAGAAAGTCAATGTGTAAGAGTATATCCTTTATAATCTCATTTGTATAAAGTTCAAAATCAAGCAATGATTCCTGTGGTGTTAGAAGTCAGGACAGTGGTTACCTTTGGTAGTGGTGACTGGGAGGGGTCGGGGTATGGGGCTTGGGTGGGGAACAGCTGATGTTCTATTTCGTGATCTGAGTGGTTACAAGACTTTGTGAAAATCCATTGAACTGTTTATGATAAGTGAAGCCTTGTTTATAATAAGTGAATTTTTCTGTATGTATATTATATGTCAGTCAATAAGGACTGAAAAAAAAACTATCTTGCTAGAGCAAATGAAAAGCCCGCATCTAAGGCCTTAAATAGAAGGCAAAAGAAGCACAAAGAAAATAGAATGTTATTAAATTCTAGGTTGATAATGTTGACATCTGACACGCTACAAGGTGAAGAGTGTAACCCTGAAGATTTCTTTCTTTGTTTAAACAGGGAGCATAGTAAACGGTGGATAAGTGTTGAAAAACTCCTCAGCACCAATTTATCACTAAGCTCTCAAGTATTAACAGAGAGTTAACCCAGTAGTCTAATGCCAAGCTACTTAAAGTCACATTAGATGTCACCGGTGGAATGGGTCCCATCCCTGTTGAAGTCCAGCATTATACCTACTGGGAAATTTAGCTTGCCACCAAAGACTCAAGGTTTTTTTTTTTTTTCCCCCGACACCGAGTCTTGCTCTGTCACCCAAGCTGGAGTGCAGTGGCACGATCTTGGCTCACTGCAACCCCCGCCTCCCGGGTTCAAGCGATTCTCCTGCCTCAGGCTTCCGAGTAGCTGGGATTACATGCACCCACCGCCACGCCAGGCTAATTTTTGTGTTTTTAGTAGGGATGGGGTTTCGCCATGTTGGCCAGCCTGTTCTTGATCTCCTGACCTCAGGTGATCCGCACACCTTGGCCTCCCCAAGTGCTGGGATTACAGGTGTGAGCCACGGCACCCAGCCTGGGCTATTTCTTTCTCTCCTCTGGGATGAGGGGTGGGGGATTGCTCTCCAGGGCATTACAAGATAAATGATCAGAAAAACCTACACCAGCCATTAGTGGTGATGCACCAGACAGGGTTTCTAATACAGAGAAACCGTAAAGCAAGAGTAACTTACTGATCTGTTCTACTAACTTGAGCATCACTCCTCCAACATGAAGGTCTCCAGATACTCTCAGTGTGACGTCTTTCTGCTGCTCTTCATTGGGATGGTCAACGCGGACCACAAGCTCCCAGGAAGCAAATGTAAAGTCAGTGGATGACAGCATTGTGGCAAATGCTGGTGTCTGCTGAACAAAAAGGCAGACATAGATTGGAATGTGGGAAGGAAACGGGACTTGTCAGTAGACTTGCAGAGCAAAATTTCTTTTTTGTTTTGTTTTTCATTGTAACCTCCTCTTCAAAACACTCTGCAAGGTTCCAGGTGCTCCAGATATCAAATTTGGCATCTTAACTTTGAAGACAAAAAGTTTTATAAAAATGGTCTCAAATCATCTAAATTTACATACTTCATTTTTCCATTCACCCACTTCTCCAAGACCACTTGGCTATGTATTTCCTTCGTCCACCCAATGCTTCAATCCTCATTTTCTCTCTATTGACTTCTTTTGACCTTCTCTCAACTATTCTGGCAATAGGCAATCTTCCATATTATCTTTTAAAGAAATCAATTTTATTAAGGTATAATTTGCATGTAATAAAATGCGCAGATTTTATATACTATAGTTCAACATATTTTGTTGTATGCAAATTATACTTCAATAAAGTTGATGTTTAAAAAGGATGCCATTAAAGCCTCTTATCTTTAATATCTTTAATATATGTATATTATTACATTCCTCCTACAAAAATGTATATCTTCCCATAATAAAGCTCAAAAAATAAAAAAAAGCAAAATAATTCCTATTTCAGTCATTATAATATATAGTTTTACCTTAAATACATATAGATACAGGTCATTAATAATTATTGCCATGTATTCGATTTACTTATTGTTCTATGTCATATAAAAATTGATTATAAATGCACCAATTAAAAATTTGGATACATCTTTGGCAAAAGATTTAAAAACAGGAGTAACAGATATAAAAAGCTCACTCTTCAAAGTACAGATAGGGATGTGAATTTCAAACCCATCGTTTTCCCCTCATGGGAGAAGCTAGCAGGAAAGAACGTTCACAACTGAAATGTTTCAGGGGGTAACTGGAACACTGGAATCCAAATTGGCAGAACTGAAACAAAACTTGAGATGTCAGTTCTCTCTTACTTTTAAACAGAAAGAAATAATGCTACTGCTCCTGGCTGTTTTAAACATTTAAAGTAAAAATTATTTAAATGATAATGAGTCTTTTTCACTTTACTATGTAAAGCCAGCTTATGAGAAATTCATGTTTTCATAAGGCCTATTTTTAAGAAACATCAATGCACTCAAACTCCTAAGAAAGGGCTTCTCTGAGGGTGTACACAAATCCCCCAGGGATCCTATTAAAATGCAGATTCTATTCAGCAGGTCTAGGGAGGGGCCATACATTTCTTAACAGGCTCCAGATGTTGCTGGTCTGTGGGTATACTCAGTTCTTCCCTTCAACCTATTTAGATCAATATTAAACCAGGGATGATGGTAATATCCGAGGAACATTACTTTTAATAATAATTAAACAACCAGTGTCATATCTGTTCTGCATGTTCATTCGAAACGACTCATTTGTAAGCATAAGAGAATCTCAAAATACGCTACACAGATAAATTGAATACTGCAAATCTGAACAGATTTAGGACAGATTTTATGGGTGAGGATGAAATTCAAGAGTTCAGAAGTAGCTCCTTATGTTTTTGTTTTGTTTTTGTTTTTTTTGAGATGGAGTCTTGCTCTGTCACCCAGGCTGGAGTGCAGTGGCATGATCTTAGCTCACTGCAACCTCTGCCTCCCGGGTTCAAGCAATTCTCTGCCTCAGCCTCCCAAGTAGCTGAGATTACAGGCGTGTGCCACCACGCCCGGTTAATTTTTGTATTTTTAGTAGAGACAGGGTTTCACCATGCTGGCCAGGCTGGTCTTGAACTCCTGATCTCGTGATCCACCTGCCTTGGCCTCCCAAAGTGCTGGCATTACAGGCGTGGGCCACCACGCCCAGCCGTTCCTTATGTTTCTATAGTCAGAAGCATGCAACGATGCAATGCATCTCCTCCCCATGCACAGAGATCCACACAGAACCCTCTGCATGAGGAGTGCCACTCAGTGACTGCATTAGGCCTAACTGCTTGCCTCTGTCATCATCAGCTTCAGGTATCATTTATTACCTACTGACTGTATGATGTGCTCTGTGTTAACTCCTGTCTTCTGTTATCCCTTTTTCATCCTCTCAGCAATCTCATTTAGAAATGAGGAAACTCAGCCTCAGAGAGATGAAGCAAGTTGCCTGAGGTCACACAGCAAGTTAGATGCTGGAGCCCAGGTGGAAATCCAGGTCTGCCTTTCTATTTCAAACTCTTATTCACCACACTGGGAAACCACTTTGATAATGTTGCAATGCCAAAATGAAAGAAAACTCCTCAAACTACGTGAACTAAATTCTCAGTAGCCTTTACTAAGCATTTCTATCAACACAAATCTTGCGCAGTGAGGAGACAAAAGATGCCCCTTCATCGTCAAACTCATAACTTGGCATTGAACTGTTCGACTTTAAGATCCTTACAATTTCTTAAATGCTATAATTGTGAAGTCTAGTTATTTAAAATGTTTTGTATATAAAGAAAATAACTTTTAAAGGTGATTCCTTACTGCTTATTTCACTGGGCAATCTGATATAAGGTCTTTTCCTAACTTGGGTGATCAAAACACTACTCATTCAGGCAATAGATGCTGATTCCCCTTACAACAAAATGCAGGCTAAAATTAGCCAAGCTGGTTTTCCTGCATTCCTTTCCTATCTTTCTGTGCCTTCATTTTTGAGTGAACGTCTAGTCTGCAGCAAGCTGTTACTTGTCAAGGATAGCAGCAAACTTCAGCCGGGAAAACGCATCTAAGGAGACCAAAACAAGAAGCAAAGTTACTGGCAGAGTGCTGAAAAGCCCTTCGCAGACAGTCAAAGAAACGAAAGCATGGAGGGATGGAGAGCAGGAAGGAGGAAAGATGAGGGGGAAACAGTCCCCGACCCTTCCCCTGGAATATCTGAAGGTGCTTGGTGTTCGAAGGCCACCCGACCTGTCTTTTGCCAGCTCTGCAGGATCCTGGGGCGGATGTTGGGTGGATAAAGCATGCCCCTTACTCCCATTAAGGCAGCACCTGCGGCTGAACTGAAAGTTTATTTTGCGGCCAGATGCGTAGGGCCGGAGAAGGTGGTCACATCCAGACGAAATTATTTTCAATCAACAGCTATTTAAGTACAAGAGGCTGCAGAAAGAAAGGGGCTAAGGGGGCTCAGGAGCCACTGGTGCCCATGAAAGCCTCCCAACCTCTAGCTCCCCAGCCCTAGCTCCGGAGCACCCACCTCCTTTCCAGGAGCCCGTAGCGTCCAGCCTCGCAGTCGCGCACGTGGAGAGCTGCGTCCCTACAAACTACCCCGGGCCGAGCCGAGGAGCGGGCGCTGGCGAAGTGGGGAGCGGGGGGCGCCCAGTGGCGGCGGCTGCTCAGCTAAGGCTGCGGCAGGTGAGGGCTGGAGCCAGGGCGAGCAGGCGAAGCTGCCTCGGGACCTCCCACGGAGGCTCGGTGCCTGCCCCCAGCCTGGCGCGGCGTGCCCGGTGCACTGCACGGCCCCAGCGGCCCGGCTGAGGGCAGCGCGCAGCGTGGCAGGCGAGGGCACGCCCAGCCCCGGGCCTGCTAGGTCTCGCTCCCGCGGAGAGGAGGCGCAGTCTGCAGATTTTTAAGGGCAAAGGGTGGCCGAAGGGCTGCTCGGCGGAGAGAAGGCGGCGAGAACCCGGGGCGCACGCTCAGTATCTGCAGCTCCTCTTGCGATGTCTCATCCTGACGCTTTAAGGCCGCCTCCAGTTTCCCTGTTCCCCCAGGCCCGCCGGGGACTAGCCCAGATGATTAAAGCCGCGCCACTTCCCCTCCTTTCAGGCATACCCATCACTCACACCCCGGGGTGCGTCCAGGCCCAGGAGACTCCAGCCTCCCGCCTAGAACAGCTGCCTCCCTCAGAAAGAGCCCCGGAGCACTTGTGGTCAGGGAGGTGAAGGCAACGACAAAACGATTCGTCTCTGAGTAAGAGGGTGGTGTCAGTCTCCAGAAGGCTGAGGCTCCCGACCAGGGGAGACTCCAGGAGACCCAAGGGCAGGCTGCATGCGGAAGTCTGGGCCACACCTGGTATGGCTCACCTCAGGATCACCACCGGTCCCGCCAGTCGCCTTCCTGTTGGATTTATTTTCAAAGAGGGCTGGGGCCACCCAGGAAGGGTGGGTGACCTGGGCAGTTTACACAACCTCTCCAAGCCTCCTTTGTTCATTTAATCACATTTGTTGAGTGCTTACTGCTCTACAGGCCTCCCAATGGGCCTGGGCTCAGAGAATACAGTGGTTAATAAAACAGACATGGAAATGACAGTTTCCTCATCTGTGAAATAGGTACAGAGATAGAATGCGTGCTCTTCCACGGAGGGATTTCATGCAATATAGTACAGGCTTTAGCGATTTGCATTAAAAGGCTTGTGAACACTTAAATTTTAATAAAGAAGTTATAAAATTTAGAAGTTGAATCTGTTTTCGCTTAAACATTACCATATTCAGGAATTATTATGGGTTTGAAAGTACATTTAATTTAAAAAGGTTAGTTGAACATTGTTGGCAAATATAGGATATTATAATTGAAATAAAATCATTAAAAACTTGAAACAGAATGTCTTCACTTGGTAGCGTTTGTCAACGATGGGAAGGGTCATCTGGTCCCACTTCCCTACCTCTTAACATCATGAAACCCTGCTTATGGCCCATTAGAACTTAGACTGTGGTCAGTGCGCGCGCGCGCGCGCGCACAAACACACACACACACACACACACACACACACACACACATATATTTTTTTGAGATGGAGTCTTGTTCTGTCCCCAGGCAGGAGTGCAGTGGCACGATCTTGGCTCACTGCTGCACCCTCCGCCTCCCGGGTTCAAGTGATTCTCCTGCCTCAGTCTCCCGAGCAGCTGGGACTACAATTTTTGTATTTTTAGTAGAGACCAGGTTTCATGATGTTGGCCAGGATGGTCTTGATCTCTTGACCTTGTGATCTACCTGCCTCGGCCTCCCAAAGTGTTAAGATTACAGGTGTGATCCACCGTGCCCAGCCTGTGGTCAAGATTTTATGTGTGACCTTGAATTATGGCTCTATCTATTCATACCAATATGGTTTTTCTCTTTTCAATTGAAAATATCTGCATTGTGCTAAAGAATTCGACTGGTTTTAAGCGTTCTTCTTGGCCTAGGTTAATTTTTAAACTTGTAATTTTATGTAGTGACTTGTGTGTATATAAATGTGTATCATATATATACACACCCATACATATACACAATATATATAGATAAGAGCACAAATCGTGAATGTATAGCTGATGAGTTTTCGCAAACTGAACACACCTGTATACAGAGTATATAAAGACACTAGCGTATAAAGAGTGCCCAGTTGAAGAAACAGGACATCACCAGTCCTCGGAAGCCCGTTAGTGACCCCTTTTAGTTATTCCTTTCAGTTATGATCACTGCCGCTGCCTGCCCCTACCCCCGACCCCAGGCCCAGGATAACCATTATCTTATCTTCTAACTCCTCAGAAGGGTTTTGCCTGTCTTTGTACTTTATATAAATGGAATCAGACCATGTGCACTATTTTGTGTCTGGCTTCTTGTGTTCAACATTATGTTTGTGAGTTTTATCCATATTATGTGTCCTAGGCTTTTTTTTTTTTTTTTTTTTTTGAGAAAGGGTCTTGCTCTCCCCCAGGTCAGAGTGCAGTGGCATGATCATGGCTCACTGCAGCCTTGATGTCTCAGGCTCCCAAGCTGGGACTACAGGTGTGAACCACCGTGCCTGGCTAATTTTTAAATTTAGCTGCCTGAGCTGGTCTTGAACTCCTGGGCTCAAGCCATCCTCCCATCTTAGCCTCCTAAATTGTTGGGATTGCAGGTGTGAGTCACCATGGCCGGCTGTCCTAGGCTTTTAATTTAACTTTATGTTTTACTTATTACACGGTTACTGTCGTTTGTGTGACACAGGTCCAACCCATCCCCCAAGGTCCTGGGTTAGAAGTGGGTTAAAAAGTGTATTCTGAACTTCAAAATTTTGTACATATATATTAAAAAAAGCACACCCTTTGCCCCCTTAAAAAACAAGCAGAATCAATTCACTGAGTCTGTTATTTAATTAATTCATACATATTAATCAGCAATGGATTATTTATTTGCTAGTCACTGTATTACTGTGAGCTAGACATCGTAATATATGTTGAAAATACTCAGATTAACTGGGCACGCACTTTGTCTTCAGATGATAGGAGGGATGCTAAGGAATACAGAAGAATGTGTCTACTTCTGCCAGGTGTTTGGAGTGGCAGGGAATATGAGAAAAGGCTTCAGAAAGGAGGTGATTTTTGAGATGGAATTTGAAACATTGGATAAGAGCTTCATAGTTTCTTATAATAACCTGAGGTTTCTAGAGAACTGTTTTAAGGTATTAATATATTTTTTTTAGTTAGCAGATAGTTGCGCTTCAGGTAGCAGAAGGGTGGAAGATAAAGAGAAGCTCTATTTCTTGACTTTGAAATCTTATACATTCAAGTTGCAAATATTGAAAAAAAAATCTGTTGTCAATTACCCATACACTGATAAACTCACCTTTGAACTAGTACCTTCAAAAAGGTAAATCAACTGGGTGTGGTGGTTCAGGCCTGTAATCTCAACACCTAGGAGGCCAAGACAGTAGGATTGCTCGAGCCCAGGAGTTTAAGACCAGCTCAGGCGGCATAAGGAGACCCACATCTCCACCAAAAAACAAAAAATCATAAAAATTATGCGATGATCTGTGCAGCAAACCACCATGGCACATGTTTACTACGTAACAAACCTGCACATGTACCCCTGAACTTAAAATAAAAGTTGAAGAAAAAAATTTTTAAAATAATAGAAATTAGCTGGGTGTGGTGGTATGTGCCTGTGATCCTAGCTACTTGGGAGGCTGAGGTGGGAGGATCGCTTGAGCCTGGGAGATCCAGGCTGCAGTAAGCCATGATTGCACCACTGCACTCTAACCTGGGTGACAGAGCAAGACCCTGTCTCAGTTAAAAAAAAAAAAAAAAAAAAGTAAGTCATGTCATGTCTGGGGTATGGGTAGATTAGACTGAATGAGAGATGTGGCCATATTCCGTATTCACTGAACACAAAAGGGAAATAAATGAGTAGAGAACTTTGAAAGTCTCTGCTGCTTTAACTTGTTAAACACAAATGATTTTTTCCTCTAGCACCTTTTTGCTAAAAATTCTATAGAGTTAATTTAGGTAGAATAAGAAAGCTGCTTGAAGGAGAAAAGAAGTGGATTTTTTTTTCCTGATTGATGATTTTGATAAATATTTACCCAATATAAAGTTCTCTATTAAGTTTTCAGCTTATAAACCTGCTAGAAGTCTGATGACTTCAAAACGGCAACAGACACCTAAAATATATTTTTATTTGCATTGAGT